>NC_000006.12:119616244-119919274 GCF_000001405.40 Homo sapiens | reverse complement strand
TTATAAAACAAAGTACATTATTTATTTAAACTATATAAGGGTGACTTATGCCTCTTTATCATTAAAATGAAAAATTTTATTTCAAAATATCACAATGCAAAACACATTTCTGTAAAGTAGTCATTAAAATTTTTCTAAGCCTCAGAGGATGGATACTCTTAAATGTGTTCAGTTATTTCCATTCTAAACATTAAAAGTAATGACGAAAACCAAAATCACTTTTGCACCAATCTAATAACTAAGGACTCTTTCTCCCCAGCTTGCTTGGGCTTTCCCAGTATGCAAGTCCTCCCATACTAATACCAGCACAGTCCTTGGCACACCAGAATAGTTGGTCACTCATTCCCAAAATATCACCTCCTCTGAGTCTCTTTCCCCACTTGAATATACAATAATGGTTAAAAATGCTGGCTCTAGAAATAGAGGACCTGGGCTCAAATACTGGTTTCATCCCTTGTTTGTTAAAGGATTTCAGCTAATTATTTTACCATTAGGATTAAGTGGAAGATTGGTTATAAATGCCAAGCTGCAGGCCTGGCACAGGGTAGGTGATCAAGACATGTTACCTCTCTTTATTGTGGCTTACAGTGACAAAAATTCCTTTTCAAAAGGAAGTTATTGCTACTCCTACTCCTAAGACTTAAGCAAATAATGTTGACCAGCCAGTGAAAAAATAGAACATAAAAAATGTGGAATTAAAGTTAAATATGTGAAAGTATCCCTGTAGTAAAACCTGAATACATTAGTATCAAACGTTTTAAACTCTCCTTGGTAGTGTAAGGGCTGGGAATGAGAGGATATTGTGGGAACAGAAATTCCTTTTTATTTTATTCAAATTTTAGATTTGAGTTGGTCATATCAGGGTGTAATAGCTAATTAAGCCCTGGAATCCTAGAATCAAGTCATCTAATAAGCCATCTCATTTACATATGAGGAAACTGAAGTCGAGAGAGATTAACTTACTTTTTTAAAAGCATCCACACAGTTAGCAATAAAGGCACAACTTTAAGCTTTCCAGGGACAGTGGCCAGTCTTGCCTTCTTTATCTGCCCCCTCAGTGTCTTCAAGAGTTCCTGACACATAGTAGGCACCAAATAAATATCTGTTGACTGACTGACTCACTGACTGACCAGGATGAATGAATTAATGAATGAAAGTAAGAAACAAACTAGGAAAAACCTTGGATTTCTTCATTCTCATTTTATCCTTATTTTTCACTCAAAATTGATCTGGAGACTTTTTCTCAATATGCCTCTGCCTTGCTTCTCTCCAACCTTCTCCTGAAAACACAGAGGATACAGTGAAAATAAACACACTTAACAGAAGACAGGCTTTCTACTACAAACAGAGAGCAACGTTGAAGAATATATTTGAAAAAATGTTGATGGATAAAAGAAAAAATTCTCAAATAAGTTTGAGATCAATTGAGAAGAGGGAATCCCCGCTGTGTTGATTTACTTTACCAAATGTCTCATGTAGCTACTGGTTTCAGTCCATTTATCTAGTCCTTCATAGCTATGCTAGACTCAGACTTTTTCATAAAAAAAAAAAAAAAAAAAAAAACTCTCTCTACAAACCCCCTGCATGGTTTCCATGGTGTGAAAGGACTTATTAATGGAAAAGTAAATTCTGAAAGCAGTTCGGGGCACTGGATAGAAGCCTACGCTATGAGCCAAAAGCAGCTGTATTCCTCAGCATGCCTAAATATACCTATGTGGATTGAAAAAGTTGTCACTGAATTACTGCTCATGCAGAAGAGAGAAAATTAAATGGGAGACTATTTAAAGAAAATCACAGCTAATAGAAACATCAGATTTACAAAATGGCTTCCCTGCTTCAGAAATCCTTTAGTGTCTCTTGAGCCTTAAAGCACAGGCCTCCTAAAGGACTCGAGTATGTTTCAATTTCAATTTCTATACCCTTGCTGCTTTGTTGGAGGGATAGAGGAATAGTTATCTATAAGAGTTGTCACTTTTTCTGCCTATAAATTTTGACTCTAATTCCAGTTGTGTAAAGCTATGTAAACAGTAAAGTAGGATACAGATAGTTCTTGCCAATTGTCATAAAGAAGGAAGGAAAGCTTTATACTAAATCTGATATCTTACAGTAAGAAGATCAATGAGGGCTATTTTTTTTCTTTCAATTTCATAAAGCATCTGAAGACCTAACATGCTGAGCTTTCTCTCAGGATAAGTCATTGCCAAGATGAGTGTAACTAACTTACTTTTTTTTTCTCTGTCATCTTAATAGAATTTTAATAAAGAAATGATATTCTACCAAAAGGCATGCAAGTGCTTATGTCCAAAAATGCCCAAGAGCTTTGTGAATTACTTTAATGGCATACATATTTTCAGTAAGAACTACTGCTGAAGGTCAAGCCAGTCAATTGGAAACACAACTGATTTGCTTTAAAATTATAAAAAATTAGAGAAAGTGCTACTATAGCATACCCAGAAGAGTAGGCAAGGTGGATGAGTGGGGTCTGGTGACATAACATAGTAGTGGTGCATGCAGAATCTTTAGTCAGGTAACATATGTTCCAATTCCACCTCTAACACTTTCTGTCCATGTTAACTGGAACATGTGTTATAATCTCTTGGAGCTTCACTTTTCTTATAGAAATATTGTGAAGAATATACAAGGTAATGAATGTCACACAGTTAATATAGTTTTACCAAACAGAATACATTCAGTAAATGTTAAATATTGAGTTGATGGTAATAATGCTGCTGAGGTTGTCTTTTAGAGTTTAAATACTTAAATATATATCTTCTATTAGCCCTGAAAAATATATTGCCTGAAATTTTTAAATTAATGGGCTAAGTACTACAGATAACTATCAAAATATAAGTATTTGCCAGAATATCTCTGAAAGTCTCTGAATCAAAGATTCAAATAGACACAACCTGAGAAGTCACATCTGAAAAAAAAAAAAAAAAGATGAAGGTCAGTGGGATAGGTAGGAATTGGGAAGTCCCAGATGACTAGATTCTATCACACTATACCTGTTACATAAAAAGTCAGAGTGTGTGATGACAGAAAGAAAAATAGAGGAGCCAACCGAATACTATCCTGCTAAGAGTTTGGCCTAGAGGCTTCTCTGAATGCAGCTATTCATTACTAATGCTGTCAAGATCCAGTGATTCAGTAAACAAACTTCTACTGAGAGCATACTCTGTGCCAGGTACTATACTAAGTACTGAGAATAAGACATGCCTCAGTTCCCCGAGAATTCATCAGATATCAACATGAGTCTCCTCAGCTCCCATAAACTTTGGAAGGCTGAGTATGAAGAAGGCAATAAATAAAAGGAAAAGTTGTCCTAAAAATAAGGCCCAGGGGTGGGTGATGATTGGTCCCAGCATGAGTGCAGCTACGAGGAGGAAACAGGGATGCCCTAGCCCTTCTTACCAGCATACATTTTAATTGCCAATTTACTGGTCTATCTATTCCACTGGATTCTGAGCCCCCAGAGAGCCCAGTCTGTGCTTGATCATCAGGACTCTCAACCTATATGTATGTGGCTGTGAGAAAAGATTTGTAAAACTGAATCATTCTGTAACTTTCTTGGAATAGCTCAAGCTGATAAAACATGTTTAATTTTCTTAATTAGAATTGGAAGGGTCACAGGCTTTAAGATAACAATAGTCAGTAGTAGGATTGTGAAGAATGATATCAATAAAAAGGTGAGAATTAATAAATCTTTTGTCAAAATAAACTGAAAGAAATTTACGGTGAAGAAAGAATCAAGAGACCAATGAAATTTGAAAACGGAACTATTATCCTCTTGTAATTGAAAAATGAGAGTGTCTGTATAGGATGTGTGTTCTTATACAGGATGCAAAGAATTATAAAAGAACATGTTAGAACTTCTTTTGCACTGGTTGTGTAATTAAAACAAATGAGTTTCCATTCACACAAATTCTGCCCAAGTTATTTCAGAAGGTTCTATTTAGAAGAGAAATGGATATGTTAATGTTTTTCAAGCACTAAAAGATGTGAAATGAGCATGCATGCTTTCCCTAGTGATGATTGTTTTCTTAATAAAGAACCAAGGTTAAATTAAACAAAAGACAACAGAAGACACACATAGAAACGAGGAAAAAGAATTGAACAAACGGAAATTCTCATTTTGAAAATCATTTCGGTAGTATACTACCGTTTCAACACCAGCTTGCATACTAGTTAGTTCTTGACCAATACAAAGGAAAGAAAAAACAATCCTTCTCCTCCCCACCAGCTGAGATTACATTATGACTGTGTTCTTTTCTATTAATCTTCTTTCTAGAGACTTAGATTTCTGCAGAGATCTTATCCAAATGCAAAAGGGGACCTGGAAAGATCTGATACTTCTCAAGAAAGAATACCAAAAGAATATGCCAAAAGAAAAAAGCCACAGGATGTAAATTCCAAAAGCACAAACTAGACCTCTAAGGAATTAAAAGACATGGGGAATTTATTTGGATTAATCATACTAAAAGGCAAGTGTGTAGCTCATCTTACTTTTCTTTAACTCACCCAACAAATTAAAAGAAAAAAAATCTAGGCCAGACGCGGTGGCTCACGCCTGTAATCCCAGCACTTTGGGAAGCCAAGGTGGGCGGATCACGAGGTCAGGAGATCGTGACCATCCTGGCTAACAGGATGAAACTCTGTCTCTACTAAAAATACAGAAAAAAAGTTAGCTGGGCGTGGTGGCGAGCACCTGTAGTCCCAGCTACTCGGGAGGCTGAGGCAGGAGAATGGCGTGAACCCGGGAGGCAGAGCTTGCAGTGAGCCGAGATCACGCCACTGCACTCCAGCCTGGGTGAAAGAGTGAGACTCCTACTAAAAAAAAAAAAAAAGAAAAAAAAATCTAAACAACAAGCAACTGCAAGTTTCAATGATGTAGCACCCTAGGATATAGGGATTTTGGAGATACCAAAAATCATGAAATATGAAACATTTTACCATGCCACAAGAAATTTTACAGTATAGAAGGCAAGTTGCTGAAGGAAACTTAGATTAAGGCCTTGACCTGATCCATCATGGGAGCTTACATTATTTTTCATTTACTTCACTTTAGAGGCAAAGACTATATTTATCTATAATGGAGTGCTAACGAATGCAAATGTTGCAAGACCATAAAATAATGTTTTGCTCAGTCATCACAAGATAACTCCTGAAGGAGAAAGCAAATACAGAAGATAAATTAATTCTAGTTCAGGGAAACCTGCACTTTAGTACTTGCTTCATTCTTAAGAAATATGAAGCAAAAGAAATATGGTTGATATTGAAACATAAGGAATACAGGTTAGACAGCAGGAAAAACTCTCAAATCAGTTACCAAATTCTGAATTTGAAGCTGCTCTCCTGAGGAAGTATATTGTTTATTTATATATGATAATCATATTTTAACATGAGAATGATAAGATGCAAGCTGTTCCTTAGAATACTTGTTAAAAAACTATATAAATATTTGTATGAGTTGTGTTTTGGGTTTGTTTGTTTGTTATGAGTGGATATATATATATTTCAGAACATAATATGGAAAAGGGGTGATTTTTTTTAAGAATAGTAGACCTCCTTTCTCCTGGAGACCTATTGTATGGATATCTTATCAATTATTTTTACTTAAATGACATGACTACTATTTATAAGTTTTATTATACCTTAAAAACAGGAAAACCAAGGCTGACAAAATGTAAATAAATGGCTAAAAATTACATAGGAAGTAGCAGAACAGGAAGGTGAATCTGGCTTATGTTTCTCTCAAAAGCATACACTTATTCCCCCTGTGTTTTGCTGGGTTTTCCTTCTATATGATCCTTAAAGATATCTCAAGTCCTAGAATTACGTGTCATTTACTGTAATGGGGAACATGTATTTCTTTATTCCTATGAATCTTATTATTTCCATGCCATCCTTCTATAATCAAAGGAATAAGAACCACCTACTGTGGCAGTGGTCTAGATGAGAGATACCTCAGTCCTGAACTAAGGAAACAAGATGATAGGAGAGAGAATGGTCTAGATTTAGCAATTAATTGGAATATATGGGTCAGGAAAAGGGAATAGGAATAGTTGATGAAGAAACAGAAGCAAAAGCAGGAGGAGGTTCAAAGAAAAGGTAATCTTTGCAGTGCTGGACATGAATACTCGATAATGAGATATTTTGCTATATCAATAACTAAGTCAACAGGGATGGGGGCCAAAACAGTCTTTCCTTTCAGTTGTTCTTAATGACATACTGAGATACTAGTGAATTATTTCTGTGTACCAATATAAATGTTCAAGCCTGGGAAAAATATTTGACACTTAAAATTTGTTCTTTAAAAACAGTAATATATCCCACAATTGTGATTACATATATTAATCATAAAAATATTTCATAGCAGATTCTAAATTAATAAATGTACTGCAGCATTTAAAATGTGCCTCCCCCTTCCAGAAAAAACTGACATCGAATATTGAATACAAGCATACCTTTGAGATATTGGAGGTCCAGTTGCAGACCACCACAATAAAGCGAATATCACAATAAACAAAGTCATACAAATGTTTTTGTTTCCCAGTGCCTATAAAAGTTATATTAACGCCATACTGTAGTACACTGAGTGTGCAATAGCCTTATGTCTAAAAAAACAGTATACATACCTTAATTTCAAATACATTATTGCTAAAAAAAAATACTATAACCTGTGCCCTCAGCAAGTCATAATCTTTTTGCTGGTGGAGGGTTTTGCCTCAGTGTTGATGGCTGCTGACTGATCGGGGTGGTGGTTGCTGAAGGTTGGACTAGCTGTGGCAATTTCTTAAAATAAGACCATGAAGTTTACTGCATCAATTGACCCTTTTTTACAAAAGATTCTTCTGCAGTATGTAATATTGTTTGATAACATTTTAGACAGTACAACTTTTTGTCAAAATTGGAGTCAATTCTCTTAAACTCTGCCACTGCTTTATCAAGTAAGTTTAACGAATATTTTAAATTCTTTGTTATCATTTCAACAATCCACAGAATATTTGTCAGGAGTAGATTCCATCTCAATAAACCACTTTATTTGCTCATTTATAAGAAGCAACCCCCCATCCATTCAAGTTAGATCATGAGATTGCAGCAATTCAGGCTTATCTTCAGCCTCCACTTCTAATTCTAGTTCTCTTGCTATTTCCATTACATCTGCAGTTACTTTCTTCACAGAAGGAAGTACCTTTCAAGGTACCACCAAAGGAAGTACCCTTCAAAGGTACTTCCTTCATTGAAGGAATGACCCCTCAAAGTCATTCATGTGGGTTGGAATCAACTTCTAAACTTCTGTCAATATTGGTATTTTGGTATCCTCTCATGTATCACAAATGTTCTTAATGGCATCTAGAATGGTGAATGCGTTTCAGAAGATTTTCAATTTATTTTGCCTAGATCTATTAGAGGAATCACTATCTGTGACAGACATATACAGCCTTATGAAATGCATTTCTTTTTTTTTTTTTTTTTTTTTTCCAGACAGAGTCTCGCTCTGTCACCCAGGCTGGAGTGCAGTGACGCGGTCTCGGCTCACTGCAAGCTCCGCCTCCTGGGTTCATGCCATTCTCCAGCCTCAGCCTCCCAAGTAGCTGGACTACAGGTGCCTGCCACCAGAAATGCATTTCTTAAATAATACTTGTAAGTTGAAATTACTCCTTGATCCATGGGCTGCAGAATAATATTATGTCAGCAGGCATGATAAAAGCATTAATCTACTTGTACATCTCCATTAGAGCTCTTGGGTGACCAAGAACATTATCAATGAGCAGTAATATTTTGAAAGGAGTATTTTTTCTGAGGAGTAATTCTCAACAGTGGGATTAAAGTATTCATTAAACCATGGTATCAACAGAGGAACAACCATCCAGACTTTGTTCCATTTATAGAGCACAGGCAGAGTGGATTTAGCATAATTCTTGAGGGGCCTAGGATTTTTGGAATGGAAAATGAGCATGGTCTTCAACTTCAAGTTACCAGCTGCATTAACCCCTAACAAAAGAATCAGGCTGTACTTTGAAACTTTGAAGCCAGACATTGACTTCTCTTTAGCTATGAAAATTCTAGATGGCATCTTCTTCCAAAAGAAGTCTCTTTTGTGTACATTGCAAATCTGTTGTTTAGCATAGCCACCTTCATCAATGATCTTAGCCAGATATTCTGGATAACTTGCTGCAGCAACTCCATCAGCATTTGCTGCTTCACTTGAACTTTTATGTTATGAAGATGGCTTCTGTCCTTAAACCTCATGAACCAACCTCTGTTAATTCCCAACTTTTCTTCTGCAGCTTCCTCACCTCCCTCAGTCTTCATAAAATTGAAGAGAGCTACAGCATTGCTATGGATTAGGCTTTAGGTTAAGGGAATATTGTGGCTGTTTTGATTTTCTACTCAGACCACTAAAACTTTCTCCATCTCAGCAGTAAGGCTTAAGTTTTGTTTTCTTATCATTGGAGAAGCACTTTTAATTTTCCTTAAGAACTTTTTCTTTGCATACATAGTGTTGGCTAACTGTTTGCACAAGAGGCCTATCTTTCAGCCTATCTCAACTTTTGACATGCCTTCTTCACTAATCTTAATCATTTCTAGCTTTTGATTTAACATGAAAGATATGTGACTCTTCCTTTCACTTAAACACTTCGAGGCCATTGTAGGATTATTAATTGGCCCAATTTCAATATTGTTGTGTTTTAGGGAGTATTGAGGCCTGAGGAGAGGGAGAGAGACAGGAAAATGGCTGGCAGGTGGAACAGTCAGAACATGCATATTTATCAATTAAGTTCATTGTCTCATATGGGTATAGTTCAAGGTGCCCCAGAACAATTACAATAGTAACATCAAAGATCACTGATCACAGATCACCATAACAGATAAATAATAATAAAAGTTTGAAATATTGCAATACTTACCAAAACATGACACAGAAACAGAAAGTAAACATATGCTGTTGGAAAAATGGCACCGATAGACTTGGCTTTATGCAGGGTTGCCACAAACCTTCAATTTGTAAAAAAACACAGTATCGGCAAAGTGCAATAAAGTGAAGCGCAATTAAATGAGGTATATCTTTACTCCCTCTAAAAGAAAGAAAAAAACCTTGCTATTCACAACAGGGATAAATTACCTTTATTTCTACTAAGAAAGTTCCTGAATTTTAACTTCCCTGCTGCAGTCTGAAACTTCAAGTAACACCTAGTCTAAAAATGTAGTACACACAGTGACTACACTGCAATGCTTGTGAGAACTGAATATCCAACATCTAGACTTGGACGTAATACTTCATTTGTTAAATATAAAATTCTGTGCAATATGAATGTAGCGATATTATACAATGGAAAGCAATTTTAGGAAAATCTAGGACAGGTCACTGGCTTTAAAATTTAGCATAACCTAACTTCCACTCATTGGGAGTAAAATTGATATTATAGACTTTACTCTGTAGCCTCAAAAATATAATTCCCTCACTGCTATGATATTTCGGCTCTTGGCAATACATGCCATTAAAATGTCCAATGTCTGACTCTCTCTTTCCACAATCTTTTCTCTCAAATAAATGGTGTGAAACTTATGAATTAAGTGCTATTGTTTTAGTTGTGTCTGCCATGGGGTGATTTTCATCTGAAATGATTCAAGTAATGATTTCATACTTGACATGCAAAGGAGATATAAGCCTCTTTTTGTCTTACATTTCTTACTTCAATGAAGTGTCATGTAAAGCTAGATTTGACTAAAAATATGTACGCTGGTATTTTAAAATTGACATGTAATTTCCTATATGGTGGAAAAGAAAATATTTCTAGAAATGTGGTGGTAATAGCAGTTTCTAAATTAGCAGAGGTAGAAGGGTCTACTTGACTCTCAAATGATGAGAATTGTCATGAGAATTTACTTCATGGGCACCAATTAAAAAGCTTGATCAGACAATGTAAGGAAATATTTTGTTCTTCTCCAAAAAGGCATCTTTATGAAAGAGGATTGAGTAAACAGAGTGAAGTTTGCCCTAGAATTCCACAAGTTAAAACAGCTCTGTTCAAAAAATTCTGATGTTCACTTTCCAATCAAACACATTTGGATATATGGGAAAGATGGAGTGAGAATTGATAAACATTTTGTTCAAGGCTTCATTTCGAAGAAGGGAAATACCCATAAGATATTTGGGGGACTGCTTTTTCTTTAGAGTATAGCTTTTTTCTTTAGAGTATAGCTTTTTTCCCTCAGGGGCACAAATTACTTAATGATTACTAATTCTTTAAACAGACAGGAATGAATACTAATTTTGGATCAGATAATTCAATTGTAGAATAGTCAATTCTTCTAACTGCAAGGTCTGGTATTCAGACAAATTTCTGTGTATCTTTAGGCTCTAAGTCCAGAAACTGTCAGTGCATTAGAAGTGCCCTAGGAGGTACTGTACTCTTTTAAAATATATTTTAGTTAGAAAATTAAAGCGAGTGGCCGGGTGCAGTGCCTCACACTTGTGGTCCCAGCACTTTCAGAGGCCGAGGCGGGTGGATCACGAGGTCAAGAGATTGAGACCATCCTGGCCAACATGGTGAAACTCCGTCTCTCTAAAAATACAAAAATTAGCTGGGCATGGCGGCGCATGCCTGTAGTCCCAGCTACTCGGGAGGCTAAGACAGGGGAATCACTTGAACCCAGAAGGCGGAGTTTGCAAAAAAAAAAAAAAAAGAGAGAGAAGTAAAGAGAAATTCTATTGTAAGCATGCATTCTATAGCATAGTGATTTAGAGCATAGCCTCTATGATCAAAGGAACTGAATCTTTCCTTTAACTTGGAATGTTGAGCCTTGGGTGATTTACTTAACCACCAAAATACTATACTCGATGGCTTAGTTTCCTCCACTCTAAAATAAAGCTAGTAGCCATTCTTAGATTCTTGAGTTGCCATGAGGACTGACTGAAAACATCTAAAGCATTTCAAATAGTGTCTGGCACATAATACGTTCATCTTTACTTTAGCCTTTAAATAACAATGTGGAATAGAACATGTAACATTTGTTATCGAAAAGGATTTTTTTCTCTCTTTTTCTAGGATTGTCAATTCAAATCCCTGCAAAAGTCAGGCAGACAATTTGAATGAATTGTATTGTCCAGGTGGTATTTTTTAAAAGACACTTTTGCATATTAAACACATAGGGATATCATTCATTTCCACCAAAATATATTTCCCTATATTTCATGTGGCCCTCTCCAACTACCTGGTTTCCCACACTTCACCTCCCCATCTTTTACAGAGTACAAGGGAAAAACAATCAACAGTTACACACACTATGATGAAAGGGCAACAGATACTTGGTCTGAGTTTGAGAGAAGCTGGAGTGAGAAGAGAGAACTGGACTGAAGGGATGCTGAACTGACAACATGTCACTATGTCAAGGTAACAACCACTACACACCCCTAGGCACTTCATCCTCACATGAATATGAGTTTCCAGATCACTGGGCTTTTCAGAAGGCCAAATATGTAAGTTTTAGATAACTTACATGTTTCAAATAGATTTAAAAGAGCTTTGCAGACATTTGGTTAGACTGTGGCCAATACACAACCTTCATTCTGCATTGTGATGAGCATCTACAACAAATGTTATCGGGGGAAATTCAGCCAGATATCGGGTGAAATTCACCCCCGATATTTCACTTGGGTTCTTTTCTATTTTCCCTAAGTGTCGGCCGGTCTGAGAAATAAAGGGACAGAGTTCAAAAAGAGAGAAATTTTAAAGCTGGGTGTCCTGGGAAGACATCACATGTCGGCAGGTTCCATGATGCCCCCTGAGCCGCAAAACCAGCAAGTTTTTGTTAGTGATTTTCAAAAGGGGAGGGAGTGTATGAATAGGGTGTGGACCACAGAGATCACGTGCTTCACAAGGTAATAGAATATCACAAGGCAAATGGAGGCAGGGCGAGATCACAGGACCACAGGACTGGGGCGAAATTAAAATTGCTAATGGAGTTGCGAGCATGCATTGTCATTGATAATGTCTTATCAGGACACAGGGTTTGAGAGCAACAATGGTCTCACCAAAATTTATTAGGCGGGAATTTCCTCGTCCTAATAAGCCTGGGAGCACTACAGGAGACTGGGGCTTATTTCATCCCTACAGCTGTGACCATAAAAGATGGCCGCCCCTGAAGTGGCCATTTCAGAGGCCTACTCTCAGGGACGCATTCTCTTTCTCAGGGATGTTCCTTGCTGAGAAAAAGAATTCAGCAATATTTCTCCCATTTGCTTGTGAAAGAAGAGAAATATGGCTCTGTTCCACCCAGCTCACCGGCGGTCAGAGTTTAAGGTTATCTCTCTTGTTCCCTGAACATTGCTGTTATCCTGTTCTTTTTTCAAGGTGCCCAGATTTCATATTGTTCAAACACACATGCTCTACAAACAATTTGTGCAGTTAATGCAATCATCACAGGGTCCTGAGGCGACATACATCCTCCTCAGCTTACAAAGATGACAGGATTAAGAGATTAAAGACAGGCATAGGAAATCACAACAGTATTGATTGGGGAAGTGATGAGTGTCCATGAAATCTTCACAATTTATGTTCAGAGGTTGCAGTAAAGACAGGCGTTAGAAATTATAAAAGTATTAATTTGGGGAACTAATAAATGTCCATGAAGTCTTCACAATCCACGTTCTTCTGCCATGGCTTCAGCTGGTCCGTCCATTTGGGGTCCCTGACTTCCCACAGCAAAATGTAACATAGAATAATGATTTTTTGATTGCATTTACATATGTTTATTTTAAAAATTCCCTTTGTAACAAAACTCCTTTATGTACTTCACCTGAGTTTTTCTGAGTTTTATTTAACATTCCTTTCCACCACACATACACACATGCGCACATACATGTGCACACACACACCCCAAAACACAAATCTTATGAATATTGCATGTAGGTTTTATCAAATTTGTTGGAGAAAGTTTGTGTACATATGTATGTCTGTGTGTGTGATGTATAAACACACATATATTCATATTTTTCCTTTGTTATATTTTCATATTGTCTCAATTTATTACAGAAATTTCCAAATATGCAGAAAAGTGGAATAACACCATAAACACTCATGAGACCTTTACCTAGATATAATTTTTGTTATTCTACCATATTTGTTATATATTTTCATCTGAATCATTTGAAGTTGCGAACATTATGATTCTTCTTTCTTAAATATTGCAACATACATTTCCTCAAGATTTCTAAAACATTTGAGCATCAACTGTGCAAAGGAGTTCAAAATCATGAATATTTTTGTGTCTTTTTTATATTCCACTCAGCTGTGCATTAATTATGCATAAATTCATGTAATGAACATTATAAACTGTTTTCCATTTGTCTGATACTGTGCTATGTCTAAAGATAAAAGATTTAGCACTGACACTCAAAAAGCTCAGTGTGGGGGCAAAGACAAGCCTTTGTGTAGCAAGACAGGGGTCCTATGATCAAGGCAAGAAGTGGGCAGTGTGGGACACTAGGAGATCCCAGAAATCAGAGGTAAGGGTTAGAGGTCAAAGTCAAAGTTGAGTCTATATTGAGGAGTACTTTAGCTGAGACTTAAAAGATAACATGGAGATGGTCGAGCTAAGAACTTGGAATATCATATTTTAGACCCAGGCAGAACATGTGCCAAGGTTCTGAGGTAAAGATGATGTACCATGATGTAGTCAGGACACAGTTGTGGAAATCTTAGTGTAGCTGAATCATTTATAACATGCCAGGAAGCACCACAACTACTGCCTAGTCATTTTTATTTTGTATTTAGTTATGAATAATCATCATGGTCCAATGCAGAAAACATTCCAGATATGTTCAGCAGGAAAAGATTATAAACAGAATTAAGAACTCTCAAAATATTAGAACAGTTGAAGCAGCAAATCAAAGCCTGAGCCTCCAGGAATAACTCACAAAAATTATACAGAGTTACTAACCCTGGGGATGCTTCTGGAGCTAGATGGAATCATTAGCTGCACTGGCATGCCCCTGCCACAGGACTCCTAGGAGTCCATAGAATGGGCCCTAAATATTGCTGCAGGAAACCCACTGATTCCATAACCATATCGGCCAGGGAAAACAGTTAAATGCAGATCAAAAGATGCCCTTTGCTTCCTTTCCACTCTCTAATAATCACACAGATGAATCTAAGTGGTGAGAATATTTTGCCTCCAGAATCCCTGACACAGTGGAATCTGGGAAATGCAGCCTTCAGCTTTTCAATCTTTCCCACTCTAATGAGGACAGAATTGAATTTAAAGAGTCAATCTAGGGTATCTACTAAAGCTGTTCTGAGACTTTCAGCCTCACCTCATCTATCCAGTCTCTTTCTTAACTGATGCACCATTAAGACCACTGATGAAGTATTCAAAGGTACATATTATTGCCAAAAGTGTTTCCTTTTGCTTTTCTATTTAGTATAAATTACATTATATAATCTTGGCCTTTAAGGTACAGTCATGCAACAAACTTAACAGCTCAAACAGTTAACTTTTTGCCCAATAGCTTTAAATGTGTAATCTTTTATTTTGGAAAATGGTAAAACATAAACAGTGGGAATCAACTTACCATATCAGCCAAAATTTTAAGCTAAAACAAATACGTATCTACTGAAGTAGGTTTATTGACTGCTAGAACCATTACCACATCTACAAATGTGATTAATTGTAAACACCTACAAAACCAAATATTGCTCTTTAGGGTTCGGAGATCAGTGTTATATAACCATCAAGGCATATAACTGATAAGGATCCAATAATTGATAAGGACCTTAGAAGCTATATATTTCAAACCCTATCAAATACAATATTCTTACAACATCTGTTTCAAGTGGACATCCAACTTCTACTTGCATATTTTAAGAAATTATAAACTACTTGCTTACCTAGTTTATTTCAACTTTTACTAACCTATGGTAAAATGTCTCATAAATTCTAGCCTCCAGTCATAGTTCTATACTTTAGAGCCATTAAAATTAAGTCTACTTCCCCTTCTGAATTATGACCTTTTAATATTTAAACTCCACAGTCACATGCTCCCTAAATCTCCTCTTCCATAAGCTAAATAATCAGTTATCGTCAGTCATAGTTTCAGGCCATCATGACATCTTCCACTGACTTTTAGCTTGGTCTAGAAATGGTCAGATAATTGTGGAATGTAAAACGATTACATTTAGTGTAGCGAAAGCATGAACTATGATTTTGTAGGTAAATTCACACCATATGTTGCTTTGAATTAAGTTTACTATCAACTAAAAATTAGGTATTTTCCAGTGTACTTCTCTTAAGCCATACCTCTCCATTGTATACATTTTCAGTTATAGTATCTGAAACTACATCCCAGAGTTTTATTACTATCAGTATAGATTTGTTAAATTACATTCATCCTTAGCTTGATGATTTATAACTGCATGATCAAAGATAGATACTATACCTCCAATTCTTACATCTTATCTCAGCAATAAGAAATAAGAAAGATAAAGGGCAGAAGAGCAGTGGCAACAAATTTTACCTGTATATCATAGGTCAGAAATGTGTCAAATGTCCACCCTGAGTTGTAAAAGAGGCTAAAAATCAAACATTTAACTTCCGACCCTCTGTGATATGGAACAACAAGAAGTGAGATGGTAAAAAAAGGTTGATTATAAGCCAAACTACAATATCTGCCACAATATGCCATATATAAACTCATTTTGGCTCCTCCCATTGATCACAGCAACTTGTACTAAGTACTCATAATTCATCCTTTTAATTATTCATTCTAGAAACTTTTCTATGATTATAGCCATTCTCTAATGTTTATATGTTCTCTAATATTTATATATCTGTTTATATTATAATGTTATATTCTATGATTATAGCCATATATCTAATGTTTATAGATATATATTTTTTACTTCATTTGAAAGTATGAATAAGTTTCTGATGTCCAATCTTCCATTCCTCGTATCTTGCTCTATAATTTTTTCATCTTTTATGTTTGTTTTTCATCTATAAGTTTATAAGTTCCTTCAGGACACTAGAATGCAATTAATCTAGTTAAGAAAAGTCAAAGTCATTTACAGCAGTCATTTGCACATTTGCCTTCTCCTCAATAACTTGACTTCATTTCTCTATTATCAAAAAATTTTCTAGCCTTTTGAGTGTAAGGCTTATTCTCTCCAACAGAGAAATGCTGCAGGCAAATAAATGAGACTTATTTACTGTATTTCATTTTTAAAAAACATTTTTCACATCTAGCCCCAAACATCATGCCTGGGCCTGCCTTTCTCTTCTAAATCTAAACAGAAAAATTAATGTTCAAGACACTTCTAGAAAGAAGACATACAAGTGGCCAAAAAATGTAAAAAAATGCTCAGCATCACTGATCATCAAAGAGATGCAATTCAAAACCACAATGAGATATCAGTCAGAATGGGTATTACTAAGAAGTCAAAAAATAGCAAATGTTGGAGAAGTTGCAGAGAAAAAGGAACACTTATACACTGGTGGAAATGCAAATGAGTTCTGCTTTTGTAGAAAGCAGTTTGGAGATTTCTCAAAAAAACTAAAGACAGAATTACCATTCGACCCAGCAATCCCATTACTGAGTATATACCCAATGGGAAATACATATTTCTACCAAAAACACACCTGCACTCACATGTTTATCACAGCCCTATTCACGATAGCAAACTCGTGGTATCAACCTAGGTGCCTATCGATGATAGATTAGATAAAGCAAGTGTGGTACATACACACCATGGAATACATGCAGCCATAAAAAAGAACAAAATAATGTCCTTTGCAGCAACATGGATGTAGCTGGAGGCCGTTATTCTAAGCATATTAACACAGAAACAGAAAACCAAATACTGCTTGTTCTCACTTATAAGTGGAAGCTAAACACTGGGTACACAGACATAAAGATGGAAACAATTAGTACTGGGGATTCCAAAAGAGGGAAGGGAGAGAGAGAGGCAAGGCTTATAAAACTACTTATCGAGTACTATATTCACTACTGGAGTGACAGGATCCTTAGAAGCACAAACTTCAGCATCACACAATACACCCATGTAACAAACCTGCACAAGTACCCAGGGAATCTACAATTTTTAAAAAATGTTTTAAAAGAACAAACTCTGGAAATAAAAGAAAAAATCCTGTTCAAGTTACTTTCCTTTTGAAACATAAAATCATAATTTTCTCTGAATTTGTAGAAATGCCTTCCTAAAGTCTAAAAATCAAATCAGACTAACACATTTCCACTGCATCACAACTAGCATAGAGTGTAATAGTATTTAATTGCTTTCTCCACCTCCACAACAACATACATACAGAATTATATGCAAAGGACTATCAGTTCACATTATTTTCTAAACTCCCAAGTTAACAAATCATGAACACAGGAGATCATCATTGTAGATGAAGAGGTAATTGGTAGATTTCAGCCAACTGCACTTTTGTCATATTCATTTATTACAAAAGGTCAGTACAGTATATAGAGGTATGGAGATAAAATGGTTACAAAATAACAAAATTCTCTTAAGTCCCAGTGTGTTGACCTCAGGTTGAATGTAGTGGAATGTTCTAAATCTCATAATTTGAAACTGTGTGAAAGTCAATGGATGAAATGTCATGAATATATAAAGGTAAGTGCATTTCCTTTGTGCTCTCACTGTCCAGGGAACAGTCTGGAAAATGACAAAAGTGACTACCCATCCCTCCTGTGGTTAAAATCTTTGCTAAATATCATAATACGCATATTAGAAATAAACAAACAAAAAATCCTACATGAAGAAGGGTCTTTATAATTACCCTATTTAATGTCATTCACCTTGGAAAAAAAACACAAAACACCCCTACATGATTAATGAGCCTGAAAGTTTCAGCTTCATGAAAACAAGTTTGCTAACTCAATTTCTTTACATCAGTCTCAACAATTGGAATAAAAGAGGGCTCTACAATATGATGGTCTAGCAAAACTCAATTCTATAATTATGCAAAAATTTTTCAAAGTGCTGAAATATAAAAGTTTACAATCTATTATAGACACTGTATGAAATTATTCAGGCTCACACATGGGATACTGAAAACAATTTCATGTCTATTGCCTGACAGTTGAGGTCAATATCTCTGCATATATTTAGGGAGATGTTATGTTTATCACTCTTTCTATAACTTGTAAATAGACTGAAACCACATGGTGTAGGTGTACACTGGTACCCATTAAGATGGGGTGATTTATTTTTAAGTAATGAACTTCAGAATATTATGAAAAATTTTATTTATTCATAAGATATTGTGTAAACTATTTCGGAAAAAAAGCCTTGATTCTTGTTTATATATGCTCACCTTGAGAAAAAACACCAAAATCGTGATAGCATAAGATTTATGTATATGGAACACAAAATTAGTCCTAGTGAGTGAAGAATTTTTTTTATACTTACAAGGCTACTTTGTACACATAAGTTTGAGGAAATTGAACTACCTCAATAATATCAAATAACAATTTGGTGTGATCTTACAAATCTGATTTGGTTTTCTAACTCTGCTCAAATATAATTATAACTGCCTCAATATATTTTGTTCCTATACTTTAAGGCACAACATGTCAAATTCACAAGTCTTTTAGGATGGCACTGTTAGCCCCTTCTTAATGACAAAATTCCTGAACCTTAAAAATATAAGGCTCCTGAAAGAGGTCACCCATTTTATAAATGGCAAAACAATGATTCAAATCTCTAATCTGAATTAGGAGGTCACACTATATATATCATAGTACCTCAGCCACAGTGATAACTTAAATGAATGTTAGTACCTCATACGGTTCCATTATATACTTCTTGTATAATTATCTTATTATTTATTTATTTTTGTGTGTATCTATATTGTCGGCTAAGAAGTTAGACCTTTAGTGATACAGACAGTAACAGAATTCTTCTTTATTCTCTTCTGCACCAAGAACAATGCTGTGTACCCACTAGACACCTGATTAATGGATATATCTAAGAAAGTGATTGCTTCATTAAAATATAGCACATTGTGAAAACCCTTATTGTTTTTAATTTACTCTCAATTGGCTTGACTTAAGGAAAATAAGACACTTAGACTATAAAACAAGCTCTATTCTCACTGAGAGCAAATATGTAAGAAAAGTTAAAATCATAATCTCTATACATAGAAAGGTAAAGACAGAGAAATTTTAAATACCAAAGCTGTTATGAATAAAGTACATGGAAATAGAGAGAAGATATGATAAGAATTAAATTTAAGCTTAGTCCACTGGATATACGGCACTAAGAATTTCTGTGAAGTTATAGTATGTTTATTACAGTGTATAATATAATAGAAAAAAAAACAAAAGAAAAAATGACCCAAGTGCAGAACAGGATACTGTACGATAAATTGTGAACTAATTAAAAATGATGTAGTATAATTTTTTTTTATACGGAGTCTCACTCTGTCACCCAAACTGGAGTGCAGTGGTGCAATCTCGGCTCACTGCAACCTCCACTTCCCGGGTTCAGGCGATTTTTCTGCCTCAGCCTCCCATGTAGGAGGGACTACAGGTGCCATGTCCAGCTAATTTTTGTATTTTTAGTAAAGACAGAGTTTCCCCATGTTGGCCAGGCTGGTCTCAAACTCTCAGGTGACCCATCCGCCTTGGCCTCCCAAAGTGCTGGGATTACAGGTGTGAGCCACCGCACCTGGCTGTGTGCAGTATAAATTTTTAATGGCAGAAAATACCCATAACATATTAAATGAAAAGTCAGCTGCAAAACAATCTGTAAACCATGATCTCATTATGTATGTGCATGCACATGTGATTTTTTTGTATGTGTAACAGGATAGAAAATGGGAATCGTTCTGTATCAGTTCTGACTAAAGTTTCAAAACCATAAATAGCAAATAGTCCCACATTCTCAAGGCAGTCACAGAGGTGCAAAAGGAGTGACCAATATCAGTTTTTTGAACCTCAGATGAGTACTCATTTCATCTGAGTCCCAAGAACAACCAGCAGCAGTGTAGGAGTTTTATTGAACTGTCCTCCAGCATAGGGACTGGTAGAAGGTTCTTCCCCTTCTCCTCAAGCCTTTTATGAGGATGTTTTCAGGAAGACCACTCAGAAAGCTTGATGTGTGACTGAGAAATTCAAGGCACAGATTTGCACCTGAATAATTATAATGAGTCTAAAACTGGCCAAAGCAGTTTATCAGCATAGAGTAGAGGGCTGTATTTGAGACATAACAACAATCCCAGAGTGGGGCAAAGGTATATATTTCCTGTAAACCAGATCTGGGTCATATGAGAATGAGTTGGCCTGGGTTGCTGTGGGTCTTGCCATTATCAGGCATCTATTGTTGCATAACAAGTAACTACAAAATCAGTAGCACACAAAATAAGCAATTGTTCTCACACATCTGCAGGCCAGCTAGAGGTCAGTTTGGGGTCAGCTGGACAGTTCTGTCTTAAGCTGTGGACCAGGTGAAGTTGGCTCCTCGGTCAGTTCTGCTCCACCTAATTTCATTGTGAAGCTCAGGCTGAAGGGGAGGAGCTACCCAGTGATAGTATACGGAATTACTTTTCAGAACTATTTACTGTCCCCCCAGCTACCCTTACTTCCATTGAAAGATCTTCTGCCTCATTGGCATTGTTTTCTTTTCCTTTGGCCAGTGGGATGTTAATAGATCTGAAGCATCAGAGATTGAAAAACATTTGTGCCCTTGAGCTTACACCAGGACCTCTGTGACAGCCGTGAAAAGGACATCATATGGATGAGGTTGCTAATCTCAGAGGAGGGTGAGAGGACTGGAGAGCAAAATGAAGAAAGAGATGCAAAATTGCCTTCCTCATCTTTCCCAATGAAGATTTCCCATGGGAACCAAGTCCGAATTACAGAAGGAAAGAGGTTACAGTCAAAAAAGAAAATACGACATGACATTTCAGTTATGAAACTAATTACCTTGAGATAAATTTTCTTGTGAATACTTCTTATTATCTAAGAATTGACAGAAAGTCTGCTAAAGATTTTACTCAGGACCACAGGATTTTGAATAACCTGGTGTGGAAGTACGGGGGAGGGGGGAAGGGTGGGAAGTTTTCTGATTATATTGTAAGAGTCCTGTTTATTCTGTGAAATGTTTTTTTTTTCTCATGTGTGTATATATGTGTGTGTGTATAGGAGAGGAAGGAACTGAAAGTGAAATTTAACAGTAAAATTTAGCAGTTAACAGATTTCATTACATGCTTCATATAAACTAAATCCGTCATTATTTTTATTAACATAAAAAACTATAATTTTAAATTACACAGTTCAATAAAATTCCTATACCTATCTCTTTCTTCCCCCAACCAAAATAATAATAAAACATGTTCTAAGCTGTTTCGATATTTTTTAAGTGTGTAAAATTTTTGGAGAAAGAAAATGGTGCAGCAACATTGGCAATCAAACAATCTTCAGTGTTATCCCCTCATCCAGCAGCAGAAAACGTCTCAGTCCTCACTGTGGGGGCTGGCTTGCCTCCTTCTGATCTCTCTCTGTTGAGTAGTATTTGTAGAAACCAATTAGGCCTATGGGAAAGAAAAATACCTTTCCTACCAGCTCTAATTTCTACATTCCACAGGGGCCTTCTGAGACAAGTGCTTTTTACTGAGTCAAGGCATTAAACGCAGCAGATCACCCAGGAGAGGGGAAAAAATCAGCTTGGTTCTCCATTAACTGAAGTTGCTCTCTTTGATTAAGCCCATTGCTGCCATGCAGCTGTGGACAGGGCCTGGAATCAAGGAAACGGGTCATTTACCGAGAAAGGAGAAGAATCCAGAAGTTCTAGGGAAGAGCATTCCCTGAGAAACTAGCATGTGGTAGGGAGGCTCTCTGGTAGCAGGGGTTATTGGGAGGATGGAATGACCAGTGATAGATAGAATGGTAAAAAGGATAATAGGCCTTACTCAACAATTTCCCTCAGAATGTCCTACCAAAGAGAACGAAATGAGAAATGCTGTAATGTAGTGTGTAAATTAGACTGTACCTGAGAGGTTGGGAGTAGAGAGTTGAATCAATTTAGAATCTTCTGCGGTTAACCCTTAGGAAAGAGGAGATAAGTATATTTTGCAAAAAAGTAAGGTTCACCAATGGTGAAATATGACAACTAAAATTTGAAATGTCACCACGTCTCTCTCTCTCTAATACTTTCAGTGGCTAATGCCACTTGAGAAAAGTTAAAACAGAAAACATTGCTAGGACTGTGGCTAAAAAGACAGCATCAGATCTCAACCCAACACAGTTCCTTTTCAGTACTGTCTCTGCAAATCACATGTCCTATCTGCAAGTGAATGAGGACTGCTCAAGACAAACCCATTCAGAGTCTATTATACACTGCATTAACTTTTACCAGGTTATTAAAACAAATGCCTCATATCAGTACTGTATCCTGGCTAAGGCCATAAAGAGAAAAGAAATAAAACCTCTGACACTTTGACAAGAAACACATTCAAGTGAAGAACAGTATCAGAACAGGATTTCTTTCCTTAATTTGAGATTGAGATGATTATCTGGAAAAGTGGGTCATCATTTTTGAATGCTATAACCATTAGTTAAGTTTCCATACAGATTATAAATGTCTGTTCCTTGCTTTAGACTGACCTCCACGTATGTATCTTATGCCCTTTGTCACAAGGGAGAAATATTTTTTAAATCATATGTGCATAAACAGAAAGAACGGATTTTAAACCTCAATCGTGTGTATGTCATTACATTCATATGGAAAATATATTGCATACGTCATGTGTTGGACAAACAATAAACAATTAACATGGGCCCAGTGACACCTGTAATCCCAACACTTTGGGAGGCCAGCTCAGAAGGAGTGCATGAGCACTTGAGGACAGGAGTTCGAGACCAGCCTGGGCAATAAAGCAAGACCCTCGTGTCTACAAAAAAAAGAGTTACAAATTATAATAATAAGCTGGGTGCTGTTGTGTGCCCTTGTGAGTCCCAGATATTTGGGAAATTGAGATGAGAGGATCACTTGAGCCCAGGAGTTCAAGGCTGCAGTGAGCTATGATCACAGCACTACACTCCAGCCTGGGCAACAGAGCAAGACCTTGTCTCAGAACACACACACACACACACACACACACACACTCAAACTCAACATGTACTAATTGTTTTCTTGACCTTCCAAGTGCTTTCAAACCTAAACTTTCTAGACAGATATAGGAAACCTTTACAAAGATTACCACAAAGAATGATTTCTTTTTAATGGCAACTTAATTGACTATTCTGCATTTCTTCATGGGTTCTTATATCAAGGGAGAAAAGCCTGTTAGTTGTCGCCCTCACAGTGCCAACAGAGAAATAGCAAATGTTCTTGGTGTTAATGAGTGATTACTCATATGTCATCACTAGGATTAAAGGAATGCAGGCATTTTGCTGAGGGCTGAAAAGCACCAGGCTGGATTCTTGGTATACCTGCTGATGAGAAATCTCAGCCCTGGGCCTGAGTGTTTTCACAACTCAGCCTTCCATTCAGAGTTCCTGCAGCTCCTACACGGAGTCTCAGAAATCACAACTATAGACCTAGGTTTTTCCACCAGGAGCTATCTGAATGGCTAAAGCAAAAGGCAACAAATATGCCAGAATTTGGGCCTTCACCTGAATGCCCGCTGACGTTTTGGGCATCCAGTAGGAACCTTATTCACTGACTGAAACCCATCTAAATAATATATAGATAATACCAACTAAAGAATATATAGATAATAATAATACACAATACCAACACAGGAGATGTCCTGGCTTTTTTGTGTGTGTTTATATATGCTATTGCCTGTATCTTCAGAAGTCTCCAACTTCTGAGGATAGAGGCAATAGGACATATAAACAAACACATACTCTGTTTTATTAATAGTGTGTGTTTGCTTCTGGAAAGGAATATCAGAAACTTAATTGCCATTTAGGGGATCCGAGAACTATAAACCAAGTTAGGAAATGTGCCAACTATTTACAAAAATAAATAAATACCTGAAACTTCTGAAATTTCAAAATTTGATAAATAACTTTTAAAAAGTAGATATGTTGCTTATATTAGGAAAGTACCTAAATCTGGAAAAAAGTGCCTCAAAGATTTGTTGATGCCAGATAGGAAGGGAGAAGTAGCAAATCTTAGTATTTTAGGAAAAGAAGAGTCAGAGGCCAGGCCAGCAATGAACATAAACATCAGAGTGGCTTGCTTGTAATGAGAAGCACTCAAGCACATACTCAGTCACAGGAAAGCTACTGGAGTGGACAAGGATGAGTGGCCAGCAACCAAGTGGGCTCCAGTAACAGAAGAAGCTGTCTAAACATCAGCTACATAAAAGGAACTAGGTTTCAAGGCACTTTTATTTGACATTTTGAGTTATTTTCATGTATTAATAAATCTCCATATCTTGGAAGACACACTGTGACTGTGTCTTGCTTGAAGGTTTGAAGATGCATAGTTTAAACAATGAACTGTGCTTGTAGGAAATGGAAAAGTTAGAAGACAGCAGAGTATTTTTGTGACCTATTTCTGATTTCTGTGATGGTAGAATGTGGGTCTCCCCTTTTTCTGTGGCAACACAGAAAGAGGCTTTGCTGTGGACTTAATTGTACACGCTGTCCCCAAATTCAGATGTTGAAGCTCTAAACTTTAATGTGACTATATTTGGAGGTAGGACTTTTAGGAGATAATTGAGGTTAAATATGGTCATAAAGTGAGGTCTCAATCTAATAAAACTGGAGGAGGAGGAGGAAGAGAAGGACGAAGGACGAGGAGGAGGAGGAAGAGGAGGAGGAGGAGGGAGGAGAGACAGAGAGAGATCCCCCTCCACCACAACGAACAGAGAAGAAAGGCTGTGTGAGGACAGAGCAAAAAGGTAGCTATCTGTAATCCAGGAAAAGAGACCTCCCAAGGAACTGAATCATCTGGCACCTTGATCTGGGACTTCTAGCCTCCAAAACTCTGCAAAACTAAATTTCTGCTGCTTAAACCACCCAGTCAACAGTATTTTGTAATGACAGCCTAAGCAGAGTAATACAGGCTTCATTCTCCTTAGGTGGGAAGACAGGAAGTGACGGCAGGACGGAGGAATCCCTAAGCCACAGTGGAATGAGGAAGACATGAATAAGGCTATGCCTAAGGTAGAACTTCTGAGGACATGGACAAGGATTCATGAAAAGGAGAATATCGGCCAGGCACGGTGGCTCATGCCTGTAATCCCAGCACTTTGGGAGGCAGAGGCGGGCTGATCATGAGGTCAGGAGATCGAGACCATCCTGGCTAACACAGTGAAACTCCGTCTCTACTAAAAATACCAAAAATTAGCTGGGTGTGGTGGCGGGCACCTGTAGTCCCAGCTACTCGGGAGGCTGAGGCAGAAGAATGGCGTGAATCTGGGAGGCGGAGCTTGCAGTGAGCCGAGATTGCACCACTGCACTCCAGCCTGGGCGGCACAGCAAGACTCCATCTCAAAAAAAAAAAAAAAAAGAAAAGAAAAGAAAAGGAGAATATCACGATGCCATTTGGAACAGTTTAGGGTCACTGGCCATACCAAACTAGAAAGAAGGGGGAAAGGCTCTGAGTCGTCCCCTTCATCTCTCACTTCTCTAATTACAATCTATCTTCCTGCTCAATGCCCTTTTCATTCTCTCTGTATTCTCTTTCAATCTTTACTTTCTCATTTTTTGTTTTTTTTTCTTTTTTACCTGTTTCCATCATCCTTATCATTCTCTCCTCCATTTATTCGTATATGCCCAAATTAAGTAGACATTTTATATTATTTTGTTTGACCAATCAGGTAGTAACACTGACTTTATGGAATGAACTTTCCAGGACAAATGTAACACTTTTAATGTAAATTGTAGATGATTTACAGAGTAAAAGATGGAGATAGCAAAAGCTAATTTGGTCGTTCACTAGCACTGGTAGTCAATCCTATTTTACCCATTTCAACCAAGCTGAGTGAATTTCTGAGCATACAAATCTAATGACCTTTCCATAGTTAAAGTGCATAGAATATACTATGTGAAAGAGTATACGTATGTGTGAGATGGAGAGAAAGAAAAACAGAGCGAGAACAAAATCAGGTTTATATGAAATGGAATTAATAAAACCTTGTGCATAAATGGCATAACCAAAGCACCTAAGTGCATACTCCCCTTACCTCAGTCCTGCTGACACAGAAAGCATTGCACCTGTGCAATCAGATAAATGCTGAAGCAAATGAGCATGCAGTTCCAAACACAAAGTATTAATACTAGGAAACTTTATGTTCATTTTACCTCACTATTAAGATTTTACTTCACTTACCAAACACAAAGTTACTTTTGCAGCTCTTGGACCTGGCCTAGAAGTGACCTTTAAAGGCCACTGCAACCTTTAAATCCTTCTGCCCACACATATATTTATTTAACTATTCAAAGCTGAGATGGTTAACCAAGTTGACAAAAGGGCTTGGAAGTGTTGCTGCACCATAAAGGTTATCAGAAATATCAGTGTAGCTTGAACCAAATTAGCAGATCAGCATGCAAGCGGTTTTATAGGTATAGTTCAATGTATTCATCACAGCCATTCATACAATGTTATAAGAAGGCTAATGTAATGAGCTTTCAAGCAAATAATGTAGGGCATCAAAGATGCTACCCCAGATAGAAACTTGAAAGTCATGCCCAACTGCTTACTATGTCACATAACAACAATGTGTATGACAATGAGGCCACACTTCAGAATTCACAAAAAACTTTCAGACTTATACTCTCTCAACAACTTTTCACTAGGCAGAGTTGATATTGCTGTCTCTTATTTTATTATTTTATTTTATTTTGTTTTTTGTTTGTTTGTTTGTTTTGAGATGGAGTCTCATTTTGTTGCCCAGGCTGGAGTGCAGTGGTGCAATCTCAGCTCACTGCAACCACCGCCTCCCAGGTTCAAGTGATTCTTCTGCCTCAGCCTCCCAAGTAGCTGGGATTACAGGTGCCTGCCACCACACCTGGCTAATTTTTGTATTTTTAGTAGAGAGAGGGTTTCAGCATGTTGGCCAGGCTGGTCTTGAACTCCTAGCCTCAAATGATCCATCTACCTTGACCTCACAAAGTGCTAGGATTACAGAGGTGAGCCACCACACCCAGCCACTGTCCCTCGTTTTAAAGATTAAGAATGGATATTCAGGAGCATGTATCCAGCAAATACCAGAGAAAGATGCAGAGCCTAGTTGTGTCTTAGTCCATTTGTGCCACAGTAACAAAATAAAAAAAACCTAAAGATTAGGTAGTTAATAAATAATAGGTATTTATTTCTCACAGCTCTGGGGGCTGAGAAGACCAAGATTAAGGCACTGACAGGTTTGGTGTCTGGTGAGGATTACTCTGCTTCCAAAATGACACCTTATTGCTACATCCTCTGGGCTGACAAATGCTGTCCTCACATGGTGAACGGAACAGAAAGGAACACTTCCTCAAGCCCTTTTATAAGAGCTCTAAATCAGTACATAATGACTCCACTCTTTGAACTTAATCACCTCCCAAAGGCGCCACTGCTTAATAATCTATTAGGTTGGTGCAAAGGCGATTGTGATTTTTTAATGGTAAAAACCACAATCGCCTTTGCACCAACCTAATATATTGGTGATTAAGTTTGAACACATGAATTTTGAAGGAGATTCAGATCATAGAATTCTGCCCCCTCATTCCCAAAATTTATGTCTTTTTCACAGGCAAAATACATGTATCCCATCTCAGTAGCCCCAAAAATCTAAACTCTTTCCAACATTAACTTTAAAGTCTAAGTCCAAGTCTTATCTATATATAATCTAAATTAGATATGGGTAACACTCAAGGTATGATTCATCCTGAGGCAAATTGCCCTCCAGCTGTGAGCCTGAAGAAAACAAAAATATGTGCTTTCAAAATACAGTGGTGGGACAAGCATGGGGTAAATATTCCCATTCTAAAAAGGAGAAACAGAAAAGAAAAAAGGAGTAACATGTCCCAAGTCCAAAACCCGACAAGATAAACAACATTAAATCTTGAGGCATGAGAATAATTTTTTCTCCATGTCCTATTTCTGGATACAAAGGGGTCAGTGTTGGGTCCCCAAAGCTCCAGAGAGCTCTGCCCCCATGTCTTCACTGGGCATAAACCACACAACAGTTCTCAGGCATTGGAGTCAGGTGTTTTCAGGCTCTCCCAGACTGGTATTGCATGCTGCTGCCCCTATAGATCTGAGGTCTGGGAGGTGGCCCTGGGTCTACAGTTCCACTAACCATTGCCCTAGCAGGGCCTCTCTGTGGTGGCTCCAACTTCACTGCTCTGCTTGGCAATGACCTAGTAGGGTCTCTCTGTGGCAACCATACATGTGTAGCTATTCTCTGCCTGTGCCCCAAGTCTCTCTATGGAATCATTTGAAGTCTAGGTGGAGATAGCCATACCCTCACAGCTCTTGTACTCTGCACACTTGCAGAATTACTACCACACAGACACTGCCAATGCTTACTACTTATGCCCTTTAGAGGGCCAGTCCAAGCCACACGTGGGCCTGCATGAGCCATAGCTGAGGCAGCCAAGGATCACCCAGCCAGTTTATATGAAACAGAAACTTGAAACAGCCCTGAGCAGTGAGAACCAAGTTTCTACAGGCACCCTGGGCCCATCTCTTGAAACCATTCTGCCCTCAAGGACATAAGCACTCTGGGCCTGCAATGGGAATAACAGCCTTGAAAATCTCCCTAATGCCTTCAGGGTCATTCTTCCATTGTTCTGATGAATAGCATCTGGCTTCCTTCTATCCATACTAATCTTATCAGTCACTTGGCTATACTTTCGGTGTTCTATTCTAAACATAGCATTTCATTCTTTACAACCTGGCCAGGCTGAGAATTTTCCAGCTACTTCAGTTCTGCTTCCTTTTTGGTTATTAATTTCATCTTGAATACATTTCTCCCTTTTCACAGTCTACTATAAGCAGTCAAGAGAATCTGTGCAGCACCCTGAACACTTTGCAGAAATTTCTTCTGCAAAATCTTAGTTCATTGCTCTTAAATTCCACCTTTTACAAAACACAAGTACATAAACACAATTTATCCAAGTTCTTTGTCACTTTATAACAAGGATGGCCTTTCCTCTAGTTCCAATACCTTGTCCCTCACTTCCATTTAAGACCTCATCAGAATTGCCCTTTATCATCCATACTTCTATCAACATTCTGATCACAATCACCTAAGTAATCCCTAAGAAGATTCATGCTTTTCCTACCTCTATGATTCTGAGCCCTCAGCAGAATAACCCTTTGTAGTCTAGCCTCTATCCATTATCCAGTTCCAATGCCACTTCTACCTTTTCAGGTATTTGTTATAGCAACATCCCACTCTTGGTATCAATTTCTTTCACAGTCTAATTGTGCTGCTATAACAAAATACCTCAAACTGAGTAATCTATAAGTAATAGAAATGTATTTTTCACAGTTCTGGAGGCTGGGAAGTCTAAGATCTAGGAACTGAATGAATGGTTCAGTGTCTGGTGTTGTTCTCTGCTTCCAAGATGGTACCCTGTTGTTGCATGCTCTGGAGGGGATGAGTGCTATGTCCTCACATGGTGGAAGTAAGGAAAGGGAATGAACCTGCTCCTTCAAGTCCTTCTATAAGGGCCCTAATCCCCTCTTAATCGAATACCTTCCTGACTTAATCTTATTGCCTCACATCTTAATACTGTTACAGTGGTGATTAAATTTAAGTACCTGAATTTTGGGGAAAAATTCAAATCACAGCACCCAGTATCTTTCCACCTTCTCCAAACTCTGATCTAGATATGAACAAAACTTCACATTAAGTTGTACTCATTTAGACTTCTATGATCTTGAGTACTGATCATCTGAGGTGCTCTGGGATAAACAGAAAGTGGTACTTTCTTATTCAGCAGCAAGAAACCCCTCACTAAGTATTTTTGTTGAACTGAGTGAGCCTCAAACTCTTGGCCAGCTTCTTTGCAATACAGAGGAGAAAATTGATAGTAATGGCTATGGTTCAGTGTTATGTACAGCTGCAATATTTTGACTCACTGTATGTATAGTCCATAAGTACTAATATTCATATTTAACTAGCACTTAATTTTATATTTTATAGAGGAAACCAATTTTTTGAAAAACTGGGACCTGTCATTCAATTTTTTCTTTTCCCTGTATAAGAGAAGCCAGAGTATCTATTTGCTTAAGACTAATTTTAACACAGCATCAACAACATTGGTAGCATGTTACATTTAGAAAACAAAAATTTATTTAAACTATACATTTACATGAATATATCCAGATAAATATAAGAAATAAATTTTACTTTGTAATGATTATGTTTCTAATTTTTACAATTGAAATTGAAATAAACCTCTCTGCATTATGTTTCTCCTGTGGGAATATTATAATTATTAACAAACACTTTATTTTTTGCCCCTATGAAAAAGTATTTTATTCTTACTCAACTAATGTGTAAAAATGTTACTATCAGCAGGGCGCAGTGGCTCACACCTATAATCCTAGCACTTTGGGAGGCTGAGGCAGTTGGATCACGTGAGGTTGGGAATTCGAGACTGGCCTGGCCAACATGGTGAAACCCCATCTCTACTAAAAAGACAAAAAAAAAAATTAGCTGGGTGTGGTGGTGGGTGCCTGTAATCCCAGCTACTCAGGAGGCTGAGGCAGGAGAATTGCTTAAAGCTGGGAGGTGAAGGTTGCAGTGAGCCAAGACCACGCCATTGCACTCCAGCCTGGGCAACAAGAACAAAACTCTGTCTCAAAAAAAAAAAAAAATTACTATCAAAGAAAGCCTAGTGGTGTGTTCTACCTCCACAGATATTCAATGGTGTGGTAATATACAAAAGTGTGTCATCATAGATCATAACTTTCAAAAGGAGAGACTGGGTTCTAGTCTGTGCTATTTGATAAGCATATAGAGTCACTGAGAGCTACAGAAAGAAATTACTATTTGAAACATTCTAGGGAAAAAAATCTTCAGGTATAGTAAGCGTCTTTTAATATTGAGTACACTTCATAATGTACCAGAAAAAAAGCTGATATTTAACAAACATTGTATTTAATATCTGCTTCTGTAGGCCTGAAGCTTGGTCACATGTGTTTTTTATGGCTTACAGCTTCTGTACTAACTAACTCATAGTTGCAAACACATGCTGACCAATTTGATGATGTCCTAATGAAAATTTTGTTAGGAATTTTCTCCAACATTTCCCACTGAGATCAAATCACCATTGGACTTCCTTCCATACAGTATCTTCCATTTCATCCCATAATGTTCAACAGTGCTTTCCATTTTATTTAATTAATCCTACTGGGGACCATATTTATTGCTGCCACCTGAGAGAGGAGGTATGATGAGACAGGCTTTTGCAGTCATTCTTGGCTCAGAATCCTCCTTTCAACATTAGGAACATATGGGCAATGTTGGCTGCTTAAGATCACACCCATCTGCTCAGATGCTGAGAAATCTGCAGGGAAGCTACTTTCTTCCTTGCCTTAGGGTTTAAGTGTCATAAAGTGATAGGTGCATATGAACAAGTTGTAGGGCCTTTGACAACAATGCCTCCATTTCATCTAGATCAAAAAGGGGGCCCAAACTCTTCTTTCCTTGCTGCTCTTCAACACTTGCCAAAATATACTGGGAAAGGGAGCAAAAGTATGAGTGTTTTAGGCTGCCAGGAATAACAATGCTACAGGTACTTTGGAAACTTAGTTAAATCCTAAGGCTGACTGCAGGTGAAAATAAACACCTGATATGGAAAATCTGAAAACAGGCCAAAGATCCACTATGATCATTGTCATACTAAAAGGGCATATCTCTCAGGTGGGAATAACAGTGCATGGTTCATAGTTTTCTGTCCATACTAGGAAATTGTCATATCAAAGAGATAGTAAAGATATATTAATACATTGCCTTCTAAAAAAAATCAACAGCGTACCTAACATCCAGTCAATGAAAAAATAATGCCAAATAATTAGTAAATTTCCCATACATCCAATAAACAATTTAAATATGCAAACATATTTAACCAGAATATAATATGAATTAAACACTGCTAGACACAAAGAATGCATGACTGCACAATGACAGTCCCTTAAGCCAGCCCAAGGTATCACGTCTTGTCAACCCTGCCAGACTCACAAACCATCCAACATTCAAGGCAATCCTTGACACCTCTAACATCTACTCACCAATTCTTTTAACACTGACTTTCTACTATGAGTCCAGCACTGAACACAGATCTCTCTCCATATATGTATAACCTCATTTAACCTTCAGAGAGCTCTTTTTGCTTGATCATCTGTTCTTACTCAGAACTCATGACTACTTTTATTTACCTTTAATACATGCCTCAGTCCTCTCCAGATTTCACATCTGTGCTAATATTCATCCAGCAGAAAGGCAGGCAGAGACCTAAGCATAGACGTGCCTGACCAAAAGGTAAAGACACTCAAATCCATGCCAGAAGACACCAAAATGCAGATAACCCTGCTCTATGAAAATCCCTTCAAAGCATATACAATTATTCTATGCATTCTATATAAAGTTCAGATGAGCCACTGTGGGGGGTAGGGGGTTAGGGAGTAGAGGTGGCATATTGTGGGCAAATAAATAACTAAACTTGGTAGTAGTAGTACTGTTTATAATACGGTATTTTTTATTTTTAGATTCTATCTGGATGAAAAAAAGTGTTCTTAGGTTATCACAAAACAAAGCAATTTAGGTAACAGGTTTTCAACATTCGTATTTTTGTATTCTTGGGTGTCTAAATGTTATGTTGTGATGTTGCAGGGATGGTGGAAGATATTGATTGGATTATGGAGTTGACAAGGGTTATCTTCCACCTTCAACAAAATATATATATACAACAAATCAAATATCTGGATAATAACTCTTTCCTACTAGACTATGAGATCTCCTCTAAGAAAACAGCTAGTAAGGCATTTCAGTAGTCCAACAGTGAAAGCATGGAGCTCTGAACTAAAGCTGCTAACAGTGGGTGCAGAGAGCAGTTGACTGAGAGGAGATACATTACAGAGCAAAGTCAGTGAGACATAGTTATGGACTGGATGTGGAAGAAGAGAGAGAAAAGGATTCCAAAATTTGTACAGCTGGATAAATTGCTGACATTAATTGAGCTAGAGATTTTAAGAAAGAAAGTAGGTATAATAAAAAATATATATTGAGTTTTATTTGACTCAATAAATGTACATGTACATGAAACATGTACATGAAAACATCCACGGACAATACCAGTAAGATGAACTGGGCTGACATTCTGTGGAATATTGCTTTGTTCTGAAAGAGATAAAAGCATTTTCCTACCAGGCATTGGCCTGAGACCCATGTGTCTTCAAAACTGCAGCCTAGGAATAACACATGGGGCCTCCTAATTTGCCAGCAGACAGACCAGTACACCTAATTAGGCAGTTTTAAAGAGAGTCCATAAGCAATTAAGAGCCTATTTCTGTTTGCAGCAGTAACTTCCTGGCTTTCCTGCCAGTGGCCACTACAAAGACAACCACAGACATGAGAGCATTTCCCATTGTTTGCACATGTACACTATCATAGACAATGTGGAAGAATTTTGAAAGTCACAAATATGGTCTCATTTCATAAGAAGATGCCTTGCATGCAAGAAAAATTATGCGGATTTGTGGGGACTGATTACAAGGCAAGGTGAAAACAAATAGTATGAGCCACAAATCTTTCTTATGGGATCCTAGATACCTCTTTTTTAATGCCACTAATGCCCATATTTAACGCCTAATAACCAGAACTAATTTAACCAGTTAAAAATAATCTCCCTAATCTGGGAAGCCAAAAGTGCAAGTGGTGGTTTCATATTAGACAGAAGTGGTGGAGACAGCATGTGCTTCTTGAAGAACTAGTATATTTGATACCAAAATGACAAGCTCTATTTGATCAATATGGTCATGAATTTAAGAAGGAAGGAGTAATCAACAGTGCTCAATGCTATAGTTCTTCCTAACTGGAGATTTAAAATATTTCACTTAGATTTGAAAATTCTCCATGACCTTAACAAAAGTAGATCCAATACCATCACGAGGACTGAATTAGCTTGCAACATAAAGTAAAAAATAGAAGCAGCTCTTTCTTTTATCTTCGTATATTAATCCACTAGGGCTGCCATAACAAAATGCCACAGACTGAGTGACTTGAACAACATAAATTTATTTCTTACAGTCTGGATGCTGGGAGTCCAAGATCAAGATGTCAACAGACTTGGTTTCTCCTGAGGCCTCTCTCCTTGGCTTGCAGAAGGCCACCTTCTCACTGTGCCTTCACATGGCCTTTTTTTCTCTAAATGAACTTCCCTAATGTCTCTTCCTGTTCTATAAGGACACCAGTCCTATTGGATTAGGGCCCACCCTAATGGCGTTATTTAACCTTCATTACCTTTTCAAAGGCCCTATCTCCATACAGTCACATTGAGGGTTAGGGCTTCAACATATGAACTGGGGGGGTGTGTGTGGAAGAGGGGAGAACAACTTTGTCAGTAACAGTTCCCTTCCTTTCCTTTCCCTTTCTGAACAACTTAATCCAAAATCTTCTCATTAGGGTCAAGCAAGAAAGGCATCAGCCTAAGGATTGGGTGGGGTTAGACTGCAATGGGCTAGTGCAGTGTGTCAGAGCCTCTGTGGGGTGAGGATAGTGATGGGAAGATAGCTACAGTACACTAAGGGCATGAGGAACACCGAGGTTCAGAGTGTCAAGGTCAAGAAAGGGAAAGAGAACACCCATGTCAGGAATTAGGGAAGATGGCTGATCATGGGTTTAGTGGGCCCAGGCAAAGAGAAGAAGTGTTCTACCCCAGCACGGAGGCCCAGCACAAAGTGTCAGGGTACAGGCAAAAGAAGGAAAGTATCCACTCAGGAAGGGTGACAGCAGCCAGCACAGGATAAAGGAGGTCAAGCTGAGGTAAGAAGGGGACCCTGCTGGTGGAGGAAGTGCCTTGCATGGGATCTCAGAGCCCTATTGTGGTGAAAAGCACATGGTAGTGGTAGCCTGGCACAGATTTATCAGAGTCACTGTGAGTGGTGTTAAGGAGGTATCTTCATTCATTTTGTGGTGATATAACAGAATGCCACACACTGAGTAATTTATAAACAGTATAAGTTTATTTGGCTTAAAATTCTGAAGACTGGAAAGTCCAAGAGCATGGCACTGGCATATAGGGAGGGCCTTCATGCTGTGTCATCCCATAGCAGAAGATAGAAAGGCAACAGAGGGAAAGAACGAGAGGAAGGAGACCAGACTCATCCTTCTTCTCAAGAACCCATTCTCATTATATCAGCATTAATTCATTCATGAGGGAAGAGCCCTCATGACTTAATCACCTCATAAACATCCCACCTCTCAACACTATTGCATTGGGCATTAAGTTTCCAGCACATAATCTTTGCTATACCTTAGCAGAAGGATATTCTTGGGGGAAGAGGGCAGTGGCAGGAATGAGATCAGTTACATACAGGAAAATTCATCAAATAAGTAAAAATATTTAGAATAATGGGAGCCTGTTTTTCACTGTCAGAGAAGGGAGTTACAAATCTAGAAATAGAGAAAACTAGAATGAACTCTGTGGTGTTAGATTGGAATTGGAAATTTCAGTGTGAACTTATGGTTTCCAGTATATATGGAGAGAGTTATAAATATAGATGCAAGTGAGTGTGTGTGTGTGTGTGTTTGTGAACTTGCATATATTCCCTAGTCCTATCCATTGAGAGAGCCTGGAAGCAGTGTTGCATACATAGTCATGAGTGTAACCAGATTTTGCATACTAAAAAACATTTTCCTTTTAAAAGAACCAAGGTTCCTAGTAGAAATATTTGATTCCAGGCATGGGGCAAAAAAACTAAGAGTTGAGTCTGAATCTTCCGTTATGCCATAAAATAAGTATCAAAGAGTAAAGACATGTCAAGAGGACAAAGAAGCCAGCACAAAGGAGCTGGCCCTGGTCAAATCTTTGCCAATTTGAGTATCAGAATAGACAATAATAGTAATGGATTTTAATTTATTTAATAAAATAGAAAACCAGAGTTTATACAAACAGAAATAAAGAAATATGTAATGATATGGCTTGGATCTGTGTCCCCACCCAAATCTCCTGTCAAACTGTAATCCCCAGTGTTGGAGGTAGGGCCTGGTGGGTCTAGGGGTGGTTTCTCATGGTTTAACATCATTCTCCTTGATGGTGTTGTGGCAAAACAACGAGATTTGGTTGTTTAAAAGTGTGCAGCACCTCCCCACTCTCTCACGATCTTGCTCCAGCCATGTAAGATGCACTTGCTTCCTCTTTGCCTTCTGCCATGATTGTAAGTTTCCTGAGTTCTCCCCAGAAGCTGAGCAGACACCAGCATCATGCTTCCTGTATAGCCTGTGGAACCGTGAGCCAATTAAACTTTTTTTCTTTATAAATTACACAGACTCAGGTATTTCTTCATAGTAGTGCAAGAACAGACAAACACATGTAATCTAAAAATTTGGTAAGAAATGAGATATTTACATAGATTTAAATTACCACCCCCATGAAATATTTACTAATTGCAAAGGGACCAAGAGTAATTTACAGTGGAAAAGCCTGAAAGGTGGCATCTTAATTAAGTGATCATTGTGAGCATTATTAATAAAGGGACAAATTAATGTCATAAGCCACCTGACAGGATGCAATGAGCAGAACACAATATCACTCCTGGGATTGTCTTACCTATAATGTGTAATTTGAATCTACTCATGAGAAAATGCCAAATAAATTTGCAAAACAATTTATAAAATATTTGACCTGTACTTTTCAAAGATGCCACTGTAAGGAAAGTCTGGAAAGACTGAGGACTGGTTCCAGATTAAAGGAGGCTAACAAGACCTATAACTGAATGCAGTGTGTGATTCTGAACTGGTTCCTCTTGCAATGAGGGACATTTACGGGTGAAAATTAATTGGATCCTGAGAATTAGTTGTTAGTGTTGCTTCAGTGCTAATGTCCAGATTCTGATAACTGCTTTGCGGTCCAGTAGGAAAACGTCTTTGCTGGAGGAAAAACACACTAAAATATTCAGATTTGAGGGGGTAACCGGTTGGCAATTTTAAATGATTCGTGAAAACGTTTTTTTGCACTGTGTTTACGAAAAGTTTCTAAGTTTGAGGTTGTTGGAAAAACTTGAAGACAAAAAAAAAGACAGGGAATATATAATGTACCTGTATAGAAATCAGACAAGTGCGGAGAAAAGCAGGCCAAAGATTTACTGAAAAGGGGCATGAAGAAACTTCCAGGGATGATGGAAATGCTTTATATCTTGAATGGAGTAGTGGTTATTTAAGTGTATAAATTAGTCAAATCCCATCAAACTGTATACTTAAGATCTATGCACCATGCTGCATTATAGCTTAATGAAGTTAACAACCATATAAAAATGAGGCAGCATGTTCAGGCAATTCATCCAAACTGCTTGGTTTAGAAAAAGAAAAGAGAAATAAAGTATAGCTAGAGGCAGATCCAGAGTCAAAGAAAAAAGCTTTCCTTTTGTTTTTCTTTTGTTTTGTCTCTGGATGTGGCTCTGGAACATGTGACTGTATCATATGAATCATCTGTGCACGCTGAAGGAGAAAGCCAGTGCAGAAAGAGAGGCTGGAACTAGAGGAGAGAAAGAAGATCCAAAACAGAAAGAGGGCAGATGGCAGAGCAGAGTCCTGGAGGAGGCAGGAGAATAGGATTTGGTTGGAAGTGCACCTCACTATTGAGGCCAAATGAAAGGAGCTTTAGGATATGGTGGCTATAGGTAGCTGAGAATCTTCTCATTGAATATCCCTAATTATTTGTGAAGTAACTTTTGGGGTTATCTTTTGAATATGAAGAGTTAAAATGGCTAAGGGAGTTTTAAAAGGCGAAGCAAGCTTGAAATTGGAATACAGAAACCAGGATAAGGATCTGCCTAGGTATTCTAATAATGTAATGGGAATAGTGTGTCTTTCCTCATTAATCTAGACTTCAGCAAGAAGAAAAGGTAATTTCCTTAAATCTGTCCTTAGTCTGATTATGCAGCTTCAATCATCTTAATTCCTTAAATCCACCTTACAGAGCAGCAATTTGTTCAAATAAAAAGGCTCTGAAGGAAATAAAGCAACAGGCCTAAAAGAAATGCATCATGTCCTGACCCACTCAGCAACCTGCTCAATTTTACATGATTCATCTCTGAGTGAACATGATGATGATATACATTGTGTTCTCTTAGCCTAACAGTGTGAAGAGGTTGAGCAGGTGTAGAAATTACTCCTGAAAGGGCTAAGGGAGATAACTTTCATAATGGTTTATAGACTGTTTATATGTTTTTCTAGCTGGTAACAATTTTTTCTTTCAAAGCATTTTTTTTGTAACAAATGTATCAGGATGCTGTATATCCCATAGCCTTTCATTAACAGATTTACTAGTTTAATCAGGATTCGAAGTTCAAAAACTACATATTAAATAGAGAATCAGAATATTAACAGAGAACGCAGGTTTTTCCAAGACTATATCCTGTATCAGAAAAGGAGCTGGGCAGCCTAAGTTTTTAGCCTTCCTCCGAATGGCTCTCACCTCCTGAGAGGTTATGATATTCTCATTGCTCTTCTGGAACTTGGCTCAAATCCACTGGGCCTTTTGCTCAAGTAGTTCCCCTCCTGTAACAGCCGACAGTGTCAGTTAAATGGCTTGAGGACTCCATTTTGACCAAAATTGAGAATATCCTATGCAACTAGCATAGATTTATGATAATTCTAAACAAAATGATTGCTTCCTTTCTGAAACTGAACTGTAACAGTATTATTCAAAAAATGTATTTTCCCAATAGAAACAAACAAACAAAACTGGTGAGTTTATTTAACTTCATTACTGTTTTGAAGGAAATAATAAGAAAGCAGTGCTTTGTTTCTGATCTGTATTCAAGCAGCCTACTCAGTGATATCAGTGGAAAAGATGTTTATTAAGGTTGCATTAACAGCTAATTTAAGTAAGGAGAATTGAGTCCTTTCCTTTAGGTACAAATTTCCCCATAGGTGCAATTTATGAAATTGTTTTACTTCTGGGCTTTTTCATTTTTGTTGCATGATTTGGTTAAGTTGGAGAACATCAGGCAATCACTTTCTTATAGCCAGCTTGGAAACCAAACATTCTTGTTCTAATCTTTGAAAACACATGGAATTGAGAAAAACAGGTTTTTTTCAATATCACTGGATCCAAAATCTCACAGTGATATTCATCCTACAACCTTCAAACCATATGTGTCTCACAGAATATTTCATGATGCTCTCTGCTAAGTCACATTATGGAGTCAGACAACTTCCTTTGGATTGTGATATAACAGTTGACCTGGAAAATGGGAGATTTAAAACAGTCATCTCAACAGACACAGATGGACTCACACTAAGGCGAGTAGGAGGAATTCATGAAGCCAGCTGTCTGGAAATGAATGACTGACTCTCCTTGACTGATCTCTCCTTCAACCTAAAATAATACTCCTCAGATCATAACCTTTATATGGCTGTTTTGATAAATTTACTTTTAAATTTTACCATAAAAACTGTAATTATACATGACAGTAATTAGGCTGAATTCATCAGTGATGTCTCAGGACCCCTGATGATGAAGGAGGGAAAACTGATCTTCAGCTATTTAGGAGAGGCAATGTGTTATAACAAACAGAACACAAGATTTACAGCCAGACAGGGGTTCCATTCTCACCTTCACCTCTTACAAGCTGTAATATCTCAGGTCACTCATTTGTTCTATAAGGCCAGTGTGACTGGTACAGAGATGCTGTTGAGAATCAGTGACCTAGTACCTACAAAACAATTAGAATGTTGCAGTGCCCAGTAATTGGCAGTTATTATGCATTTATAACAGGCTTGATTCATCTTTTTATCACTTAGTACATGTTGTTGTGCCTTAGATACACAATAAATGAAAGATTAAATTGTTGATTTTTAGTGAGTTCCTGTTAATCAACTAAATTAAGTGATTTCATATTGAAAGCATTTATGGTAAATCCGTATGTTAAAAATAAATGTTTTAACCTGATTCACTCACAAAAAAAGCTGACAGAACTGAAACATTCCAAATACACTGCTACTAGTTGTTCTGATATCCTCAATGCAATTTCCAACCTTATTAAAAGGGTGGGAAGTTATGGAAGATAATCCTCTTTTGATTTTTCACTGGCTTCTATTGTGTTTAAGAGAAGGAATCATGGAGTCATAACATTTTAAAGCTAGGGGTAGGTCTTAGAAATCTCTAATTAACCCCTTCCTTTTATAGATGACTAAACTAAGGGCTAGGGAGACGTAGTGACTTGCACATGATCATATCAGCAGAGCCAAGATTAGAAATCAGGTCACAGAAATCTCAATGCAATTTTCTTTATTCTACATCATCCTGCATAAATCAAACCTATGCTGTAGTGATATGCTTTTGTGCTTTAGAAGAGAACTCTGTGGTGAGTTCTTATGGCACAAAAGGTATCTTAGATCAATGTAACTCAAAGTGAGACAGGAATCATACCTCATTCAGTCACCAGTTTTTAGGGGATTGATAATTTAACATCTCCTTTGTTCAGCTCCTTGGCATACAGTCTATAAATTATTCTAACATAAAATCTAGAGTCTTACAAATTATTGGTATTAAACACATGTTGTTTTTTTCCAAAGTAATGGTAAATGGTTCTCTAGAAAGAATAAACTATTCTTCAAAGCAAGTTTTGCTTTTTGAAGTGGTATGGAAACATTCAAATGCATTCTTCTCCTTCAAAGGCAGAATGATTTAGTCTCAGAACACTTAATAAATGGACGATCTTTGGAGGATACTCAATTGATTTGTGCCTAAGTTTGCTTCTCTGTTCATATTATGACACTAATAGTAGTTATATAGTTATTATATGAATTAGCTGAGATAATACATGTAAAGGACTTACAATGATAACATAAGAACTTAAAAAATATTAACTGCTACTATTATTGTTCTTGTTATCACTATTATTATTACCATCCTTTGTTAAAAACAGATGTTATTCACATTTAACAATATTAGATTTTATCCTTTTTCTTCCGTATACCTCATGAGTGTAGCTCTCCCACCTTAGGTCCTTCTCTTATCCGGTTAAATGGTGCCATGAAATTTTAATCACAGTCAACGCCTATGCTTTTTGCTACTGGGCTTCAAGGCTTCAAAAGAATGTGACAATTAATAAACATTCACATTTGCTTCAATAGAATCTTAATGTTTTGAGAGTCCTCTTACTCTTCTCCTCTTGCAGTTTTCCAAGTCTGCTAACTCCCCTTCATTTGGAAATCAAGGTGAACATAAGAAAGAAAAATTTGTTAGATATTTGAATAAAATCAGAAATAAATTTAATATAGGCTATTCCTAGGTATCTGTAGGAATATTATTTCAAGCTGCTTTAAATGACAGCATATAACTCCTTGATTGGCTGTAAGAAAAATAATAGAATCAGAAAGATCTTTTTTGCATTCTTCATCACCTCAGACAGGGCCTCAAATAAATAGATCTCTATAAATATTTTTGAATTAATAGATAAGAAATACCAAAATACAATGGCAAATTCAAGTGTCAGTCAAATATTTGCAGCTGTAGCATTTCTTCAGTACAGGGTTTTGTTTTCTTCTTTACACATCTTCATTGGTAAAATTTGAATGGATGAGACTTATTTTCTTGCCAAGACTTATAATGTGTATACTATTTGTCAATTGTAAGTGGACAATTAGTGGGTATTCATCATTCACATGCCTCAGTTGATTACACTGGAGGCAATGCTAAAGAAAGATCACCTTTCAATGTATTAACAACAGATTCAGGACACCGAAAAAACAATTCATTTCTCAAACACAGCACCTTCTTTCTCTTGATAAAGTATATTCTCCAAAGTTAGATCATTTTACAAAAAGCCTAAGGTCCTGACTATGATTACATTAAAGAACATGTGGTCACAGGACATATATTACCTGCCATTTTTAACTGTGTATGCTCATTTTATACTCAATTCTGCATTTTTATACCAAAACTGGAGTTAGTTGACTCTGTTCAACAGGCATTGCCTAAATTAGATTGCTAGACTAATATGCTTTTTTAAAAAAGACTAGTGAGTACTGTAAGATTTCAGGGCAAATATTCTCATTCTGAGTATAAAATATATTTGATTTAGGATGGATATAAATTAGGTTTGATTCCAGAAATACCAACAAAAAAATCCCCTAATTTATAAATATGTTTTAGGTGTAAAAATGGAATGAAAGCCATTTTTCAAAATTATAGATCTATAAAGTACATTGAATAAAGCCCATTTTAAAATAATATGTATAAACTAATACTGACTTCTCTTCTTCCCCTGGGACACAGGAAAAGAAATTTTAGACTTTCCTTGAAAGAAAATCATAGAATTTTCACTAACTCAAACTGAAAAAATAAGTCTCTTGGATCATTATTAAAAATGCTTAAAATCCATTGCCACAAAATACTTTCTCTGATAAACTCAGACCAATGTCTTCATTTTCCATTTACCTTAAGGCATCTGCCTTAAGACAATTTCCTAATGTAGTTGGACTGCAAAGTCTCAGAGTCTAAAAGCCTGAGAATCAGTAGCTCCAATGTCCAAGGGCAAGAGAAGATGAATGTCCCAGATCAAGAATAGAGAAAATAAATCTTCCTTTCCTTTCCCTTTTGTTCTATTAGTGTCCTCGATGAATTGTATGATGCGCACACACATTAGAGAAGGAAGATCTTCTTTTCTCAGTCCACTGGTTCAAATGCTAATCTCTTCTGAAAACACCCTCACAGACACACCCAGAAATAATCTTTTACCAGCTATCTGGCCATATCTTAGACAAGTCTAGCTGACACATAAAATTAACCATCACACCTTGGAAGGGAAGGCCAAACGCTAAATGGAATCCAAGAACAGCCAAATGAGGAAGGAGTCAACTATGATACATTATTCACCCTGAATAACAAGCTCTCACTAACTTCACGGCCTTCTCAAAGTTTCAAAATAATAATTAGTGATTGATAGTACCAACCCAGAAACTTTTGTCATACTTCATTACTACGTCTCTACAATCCCCTGAGAATTACAGATCAAATTTAAGAGAGTCAGTTCAGTATCACAGCATGAGGAATCCCAAGAGCAAATATTGTTTGCCAATTAAATAACAGAAGGAAGACGTCATCTTACTGTTTCTATCAGACATTTTCAGAAAACGCATGCGATTTTCAGGAAATCAAAAATAAAAGCAAGCATAAACAGAGTTAAATATGTCACTTCTAAATAAAACTGATCCTTGAAACTGATCCATAGCTGTTTCTTGATTCTTAAAATGATAGCATGACTGCTATTTGTCATGAAGTAGGGACAGATGTTTTTAGTCTAAATAAGGTAGGGAACAAACACATGCTACCTTTTTCAAAAGGTCAACAAAAGGCACAGATGAAATAATCACATTACAAATACCCATAATAAATAATAAAAATGTACATTTCTTGGAGTTAATAATTAAAGTAAAGGGAAATTTCTCTATTGACAACATGTAACTTATGTGAGACATAAGGCTCTTTTGATAGCAAGCTGGTCATGATGCACAAACCTCTGCACTGACTATGGGTACTGCTCTCTGTTATCAAACACTCAGCTCAGAAAAGCCACTGGCTGATGTGCACCTGTGAAATTGAGTCGCACCCAATTCAACCTCTCTGGACAGAATCAAACACTGAGAATGATGAGAAAGTTATGTGAATTTGTAAGAGATACACGTATGCTGTTGAAGTCTAATAGAAATATTTTAACCACTGGCCTGAATCCAATCTGCACAGTAATTTAATAGACTATCAACCACAAATGCAATCCATAAGGCAAGTGAATGGGTATGAAATGCAATTGGCAATTTTCTCGGAAAGGGATTGGTAGAATCAAACTAATCTATGTGAAAAAGGAAGCTGCCTGGCAATATCACATAGTCAGAATTTTGAATAAGAAAGTGTAACCAATCATATCCTTATAATGTATTGCTTTGGAAAAAAATTTGATCAACACCATAGAACCTAACAAATCTGGAAAAAAAATATTATTCTTAGTCATCAAGAATTGCTCTTTGATTCCAGAATATTTTATTTCATTAAATGTATAGAAATTCCATTGAAACAGAACTTGGAACCAGTGTTTTCTAAGAAACATGTAAGCATACATGCGTAAATGATTTTTTTCTTTCAAAGCAATTTATTGCAACTTGTATCATTTAGACACTATTTTAAAATCCCACCCTCAGAAAATATTTTCCGAGTTACTTAAGGAGCCATGCAAGGAAATTAATCTTATGACTTTATCATCATAATTGAGAGAACATAAATTTAGAAACTTGTGATTAGCTCCATTCTAACACTACTAAATAGAAACATGTAGACTAGGTATAAAAGTATTTTATAAGAGAAAAATATAAAAAATCTTTTGTAGAAGAAAGCCATGGGTTATTCTTCATAGAAAGATTTCACAACTACACTGAATTGCATTATTTCAACAACCTGGAATTGTCTAAAGAGACGAGTAAACTTCATGGTCTGAATGTCCTTTTCAGCTGAGGATTAGATTCTTTTGTATCACATATTTATTGTGTCATATATGTAGAACATAACACAAATATTACTCATCAGTTCACGGGTTAAATGCAGTATTCTCTGCCAACCATATTTCATGCATATAAATACTCGCTAGTGTACGTTTCCTCCAAGGATGCTCAGAATTTTTTTTCATGTGAAATAGAATAATGAAGAGATTTTGGTTATAAAAGAAAGCTAATTTTTGCATTAAAGACTAGACCACTAAGAAGACTAAATAAATTTGAAAATAACTCAAAAAATCCAATACCATATTTTATTCACTTATTGAAGCAACAAACAGGTATTGATAAATTATGTGACAGTATTCTAAGTATTCACATGCGGAAGTTAATAAAAGAGACAATGACCTCTGTCCTCATAGAGCCTGCATTATTATGTGGAAGACAAATATTAAACTAAGTTACACAAAGAAACATATAATTAAATGTTATATATTTACACACACATTAGAGAAGGAAGATCTTCTTTGACTTCTAAATTATACTTCTAATTAGATTTTGTTTATACTTATTTAGTTATACTTCTAAATTAGATTTTGGCTTGTTTAAATACTAAGTTAGGTTACAGTTTGCCACACAGCAACTCAAGGTACAGAGGCAACCTCAAGCCAAAGTGAAATTGATTTAACAATATATTAACAATGATGGCTCTTTTTCCTAAATGCAATTAGAAAATATTGAGGAATTTTAAATAAGGGAAGGACACAGCCAAACTTAATTCATAAAAAATTTGCTGTAGCCCTGAGAATAATGGGGATGGGGATGATGGTGTGTGGCATGAGGGGATGGACTATAGGGAGCCAAGAGGGGTTATGACACTATTGCACTTGGACTCTGGTGGTTTCAGTGGAGATGATGAGAAGGTTTGAAATCATCTTATGTGGTATTATAGTGTAAATTTAATGTCAACAATAAATTAATGTCAGTTGCTTTTTCCTGATTCCTGATAAAACTTGGCCATAACTTCACATAAAATAATTTAAACAAAACATTTTATTGTAATCATTTACAGAAAACAGAATAAGGCAGCTGCATTTATAAAACTAATCACATATTTACCTGCCATGAGAGCACACTAATCCCTAGAATATCTTCTGATAAATACAGATTAATGTCAGTTTTCTATTTTTATTAGTTCCCACTAGGTAGGATTAACTTCACAATTTACCAATTCATGATGAATTTACCTTTATGTAGTTAATCTATGTAATTATGTAGTTAATTTATGTAATCTAAAGGCTTAAGGGAATAGCAACAAAGAGAATATGCTTAGTCAGATAAAAGGTAAGTCAAAACAAATTATTTGCTCATAAGCAAATATACATAAATATGACAAAAAAAATCATTAAACAGGATTTCCAACTTGTTCTAAAGTACTTGTCCCTGAATGTGACTAGAGATCTGGACACATTAAACTGAAAACAGTTATGTGCAAATGCCCATATCAATAAAAGTTAAAAAGGTTTGAGCGATGTTAAAAACAGCCCTTGGGGTAAGCTAATTAGTAAACTAGAGGGTCTTAAAACTCTCAAGTGCTGCCTTTGAACTGAAGAAGACACCTACTAATGAAGTCCCCAGTGGAATCAAAGTTTAAATCTGGTAGTATGAGTATTTCTGTATCTGAATTTCAACTATGTTGATGCAGTAAAAGCAGTACGAAACGTTACTCAATAAGGAAAAGTAGGGTAAAAATGTTCACAGTACCATGAGCTGAAAGCATTTCATTTTTAATTCCTTGTTTATATAGAATGCATATTAAACAGTCATGAGCAACTAAAATATCTTACAAACAGGTTAAACACATTTAACAGGGAAGTTAAACAAATTTAACAGAGAAAGGTTAAATTTGGGGTTATAATGTATTTGGTTGGACTTATAATAACTGGTAGAGGCAGGGTAGATATTTGAGGGAGAACATAATGAATTAAATCCAAGTCTTTGACTCACTTACAAATTTAAAAAATAGGGAAGTAAAATTTGCTCTTTTAAGAAGCCTGGTACACTACAAATATCAGCCTTTATAACCAAACAATCTATTACTTCAAATAAAATATTTTAAAGCAGCATAATCAGAGCAGATATTTAATTTGAAAATCCATATGGACTATCTAATTGCCCTAATCTTGACAAGAGGAAAAGGATCGTTCCAATGGCTAACACTTTCTACTTATTACCAAGTGTATGATTTATTATACTTCATAGAAAAGTCATTTGCTATGAGAGTTGTGTTTTCTAATAAGCAGCCCACTATGATGTGTTACAGTGTTTTCCTCTTTCAGCAGGAGACTCTAGAGACACTGAGTAGGTTTCAGAGACAAGAAAACTTTGCAAACACCACTAACCTGAACGGACTCTCCAAAAGGGTCGTGACACACAGGAGCACAGGCATAACTTGCAAACAGCACGCCCTTTTCCTTCCCCGAGGACAGAAGGAAGATAGCATACCTCCATGTGTATAGTTTGGAGAAATCAGAAATAGATTAACAAGGCAGAAACAAATTAAAAGAAAAAAGAATGTTTCCACCAATACTGAACAAACTCAATTAAACTAGCTCAGTATGCTCAGCACAGCCTTATTGTACCCACACCTATCCCAGTCAGAGGATTTCCATGACCCTCTTCCAAACAGATTCAGAATTCTTCATCAAAACCTCACATCCTCCCCTCCACCACCCCTCCTTTTTTAACATTTTTCTTTGTAAAGGCAGAGAAGAGAAGGAAGAAAAAAAGAAAGGGATGGAGGAAATAAAATAACAAAACTTTCTTAGCCTGCTTGAGACCATCACCTCACTTTGGTACAGAACTCACAGGGACAACACTGCAGAGCTGCTAAGAAAGGAAAAAGCCCAGGAGAGCAATGAGTGATCAGTTTTCAGTCAGGCAGGCTTCTGAGAGTTGGGAAACAGCAATCATTACGTTATGTGTGCCTGCTGCTTGGTATACGTGCATCTTACATATTCATCTTGCCTCTATTCTTATCTTTCTGTGCTACCCAAAATAGAACTGTCTTTGTGGGTTTATTTTTGCTTTATTTATAAACTCCCTGTAGTGTTGCACTGGCACTCAACATTTTATTGTTGTTGTCATTTGGGATTTTAATATCCCTGATCTCGCTTATCAGTAGACATGTAGTAGTGTAATTCAGGAGCAGGAAGTTCCCTCTATCTCCTACTAACTAACATGTCTCCTGGCTAGTTATAACTTAAGTCCATAATTCTACCTGAAAATCAGAAAGTTATCTAGGTTCTAATGTTTTCATCGTTTAAAATGAAAATATCCCTAGCACCTTATGCTGAGCTATCCATCATTGACATTTCAATGTAAACTTGTTAAAGTGGATTGCAATCAATTTCTAACACTTTGCCTGTGCCATTTATACTGCAGAGATGAGTTTCATGGAGGTAACCAGAGGGGTCATATATAAACCAGACACACAGACCAGGAAGTGCTGGCATATATGGTGACTCCGGTAAACAAGAATCTTGTGGCGTGGGAACACACACAGACTCTGAGGGCAGAAAATGGTGGAGGGGACAGAAGAAAGGTAAACTTTATATGCTTCGCAATTTTGTCTCCAACTGGCCGTGGGTCCCATTGTATTTATTATTAAAACCTTCCTTTAACTCATCTTGTTCTTTTCCATTATGGCAGGTATTTCTTAAGGTCATAAGTTGGTTCTAACTGCAGATCTCTGATATTTTATCAGTGCTTAGAGAGTTGTTTAATCTTGGGCTGAAATGCAAACATTAATAAAAATAGTAGAATCATAGGGGAGGAAGAAGTTTTCAAACAACACTTTTTTCAGAATTGGTAGAATGAAGAAAAATGTTGACTAATGGTTCAAACACTGAAGGAGGATGAGGGGAAGAGAAGACAAACAAATGGGAGACGAGGGAAATAGCCGATGGGGTTGTATCAATCAAAAAGTAAGATAGTAAAAACAGTGTTTTGTTCTTGGATGAGAAATGATCCTCTAGCCAGGGTGGAGTTTAATGCAGTAGGGGGATACTAATACAGAGACAGACAGCAGAAAATGTAGAAACCACAGGGACAAAGCTATTGGATTTGAGAAAGAAAATAAATTTCTTGTATCTGTTTTCTCGAGTATGAGAAAGCTTTAGGCTATTCTTAAGGAAAGACGATAGGTAGAAAAAGAGAAGACAGGAAAAGAGCAGCCTTTAAATGTTGATTTAATCCTTTCCCTTCAAGAAAATGTTTAAAATTTTTCATTGATCTTGTTCTGAACAATTGCAGGTATTATGTTTGTTTGCTTGCTTTTGTTTTCTTCACATTCTCTAGGTCAGTTGCAAGAGTTAGTTTCAGACAGAGGCAAGGCTGCTGTTAATCTTAAAGCAGTCTATTTTACTTTTAGGAAAAGTAAAAATCTCATTTTCTTTCAGACAGGGTTGATTGTAACAGGAAAAGAAAAAATAGGATTGAAATATGTTTTGTTCTAGATGGTACTATATTGCAGTAGACAAATAAGATGTGAAACTAAAAGTTTGTCAGAAGAGGCATGAGGTAGATAGTCAGCAATTGTTAGTACACATTACCCCAAAGTGAGGAAACTTTACTGCACAAACCACACATTCAGTCCAACATTACTCTATTAGTCTATAGCATATTAAAAAAAATTTAAAGTATCTTCTGAATGTATATTTGTTTTCACTTATTATTTATCTAGCCCAAACCTATTATACAGGTTTGTTTTTCCTTAATAATTCATTATCTATCCATCTTTAGCCTTCAAAATGTAGGATACTTTCATTTCTCCTCTTTTCTCTTCATTTATTTCGCTCTGTCTCATTCTCTTGAGCTCCGTCTCTCTGCTTTTCATTTATTTAGCTCTGTCTCATTCTCTTGAGCTCTGTCTCTCTCCTTTTCATTTATCTAGCTCTGCCTCATTCTCTTGAATGCCAGAGAGCTGGAAAGTACAAGTGTGTTTTTTTCCTGCAAAGACTTTAAATCTAAACCCTTTTCAGCCTCAAGATAAACCATTCTCCTCAAAGTCATCCAACTCACTCTTTCCATCAGTAAATATCTCCAGGTCACTCATGAATGAAAAACTGATTACTCTTTGCCAGTGTTCCATGGAATCCACAATCTTCAGTGTTCGAATAGCACATTCTTCTCCTCCCTTGAGTCCTCGTCTATAATCATTTGTGAGTGAATTTATTACTTCAGGCTTCTTGTTTTGAACTCTTACCATTTTCTTTCCAATGTTGCCCAGCTTTTTTCCAAGATCCCCAAAGACCACTTTTTATTTTATTAATTTTTTTTCACAATGGACCTGTCTCCTAAGAGGATGCCTCAACCAAGTCTTTATTGCCAGGTGATTTTCCCTTCCAACATTTACGTGGATGTTATTTTCACTTCCTCTCAGGTAAATGTTACCTTGACCTTTAGAGTGAAGTGTAAGGTGTATGTGAATATGAGGTTTTCACAGGTTACACATCACCTTAGGACAATTCTGGGAGGGTGTTTTGAAAAAATCAGAGAATGAACTGTAAGAGGAGGAATATATTAGAAAATTACCACAAATCCAACAAAGGAAAAGGCTTACCTACACACTCAGGTGAATGAAGAAAAACATGCAGCTAAGAGAAACAAAGAAATTGATATAGGGAGGAAATGAATATATGCCAGGAAAAAGAGAGAAAATAGAAGAGAGAGAAAGTGAGAGAGAGGGAGAGAGAGAGAGAAAGAGAGAGGGAGAGAGATGCAAAGTTAAATAGACCTTTTTAGGAAAGTAGATTGTTAGAAAAGGGATAGAAACTATTGCTGAGGACCCTAAATAAAAAGATTCATATGAATCAAATACATTCTTCCAATGCCAGTGTATTTTTATTTAATCTGTTTCTGATTGTTCTCCCTTATTCATAAGTATTTTTCTAGGGGCATAATATTATTTTATTATTTACCAGTAGCCATTGTGGTAATTCATTGCTTCAACTAAACTATTTTATACATTGATTAAAATATTCTGGTACAACAAATAATGAAATAGGTAATATTTATTGCATAAAAACTCTCTGCTAGGCACTGCAATAAGCAATTTACATACCTTTTTTCATCTTATCCTTATAACATCCCTATGAAACAGATAGTAGCATTTTTATTCAACAACTGAGTCAACTGAAACTCAGAGAAGTTGAATAATTTATCCAAGGTAAAACAGCAATTAAGGAGAGAAGTGGGATTCAAACCCATGTGTATCTAGCACCAAAGTCCATCCTCCTCACTAAATGCTACTATAGGCTATCAACGAAGTTCTATTAGCTGGTATTAACATAATTTTGTGTAGCAAACCATTATGCTCAGGTTTAAATGGATATTGCAAGATAAATATTTCAAATCATATTACCTTATTTAAAAAATGTCTAATGATATATGTATGTTGTATAAATAATGCAAAATTCAACTTACTAAAATATTTACATATACGTATACATTAAATATATATATATTTACATATTATAATAGAACCTTGCTCATCAGGTTTTAGCCAGTGACCTAGTAAGGCTCTTTCTGATTTAGGTCCTATGTTTTCTGTCATTTATGTAAAATTAAACTTATCTAATTTTAACTGCACAATTGAATGAGTTTTGACAAATGTATACACTTATGTAACTATCACCAAATTCAACATTTTTATCACTGACGTTTTCCTCATGTTCCTTTATCATCAATTCTCACCCTACTCTGGCTCATTGATGTGCTTTCCATCACTATGTCTTTGCCCTTTCTATGGCTCACTACATGCCACTACAAGCTATTGACTAAGTTTCATTAGTTAAGTTTTATAGCTATGGCTTTCCAGCCATACTGTATGATTGATAGAAATATAAATTTACATAAGTGAATCATATAGTATGTAGTCTTCTGTGACTGTGTCATTCCTATAGATCCACATTGCTATCTAGTATTATTTCTCTTCAAATATGAATTAACTTTCTTTAGTCATTGTTCTTCGTAATAGAGATCTAATGGCAATATATTCTCTAACCTTTTTAATCTGAATTTATTATTCCATTTTTATTTTGAAGGATAGCTTCACTGGATATAGGTTGATTTTATTTTCCTTCTGCATTTTAAATACACTTTTCTAATGTCTTTGGGCTTTCATAATCTGATGAGAAGTCAAGCATGAATCTTACCTTTTTCCCTAATAGCTAATGTGTTATTTTTCTCTAGGTGCTTTCAAGATTTTCTACTTATTTTAGCTTTTAGCAATTTTTTTTCTTTTTCAGACAGAGTCACACTCTGTCACCAAGGCTGGAGAGCAGTGGTGCAATATTGGCTCACTGCAAACTCTGCCTTCCATGTTCAAGTGATTCTCTTGCCTGAGCCTCCTGAGTAGCTGGGATTATAGGTGTGTGCCACCACACCCAGCTAACTTTCGTATTTTTAGTAGAGGTGGAGTTTTGCCATGCTGGCCAGGCTGGTAGCGAACTCCCGGCCTCAAGTGATCTTCCCACCTCAGCTTCCAAAGTGCTGGGATTACAGGCATGGGCCACCATGCTTGGCTGCTTGTAGTAATTTGATGATGATGTGTCTGCAGGTTTATTTTTTTGTGTTTAACTTGCATGAAGTTCTTTGAACTTCTTGGATTAGTAGGTCAATGTTTTCCATCAAATTTGAACTGTCTTGCATCTTTTTTTTCCTTTTTTTTTTGCTTTTTTTTTCCTTTCTTGTCTCTCTTTTTAGGATTTAAATGATATATATGTTGTACCATTTCATATGACCACTTCATATTTTCCCACAGATCTTAAGATTCACTTTATTTTTCTTTATTCATTTTTCTATTTCTTCTTTAAATTTTATAGTTTCTATTGATCTATCTTCAAGCTCACCAATTCTTTCTTATGTCATCTGCAATCTGATGTTGAAACCATCAACTCATTTTTAAAATTTCATTAATTCTACTTTTCCACTCTAATTTATATGTTTTAGTTAATTGTCATTTCTCTATCCCATCTGTTTGTTCATTAAGGTCATATTTTTATTTAGTACTTTGAAAATATTTTCTTTTAATTCTTTTAAAATAATTATATGCTTTGAAGGCTCGATCTGCCTAATCCAATATCTAGGTTTTTTGGATTCAGTTTATATTGACTGCTTTTATTTTCCCGGTTATTTTTCACATATAGCTATTTTTTTGACACTTGATTTCTGGTTGAAAACCCAGATTCTGCAGATAATATATTGTAGTGACTCAAAATTTTATCATGTTCTCCTAAGAATTATCCTCTTCTGTTTCAGTAGACAGTTAATTTGTGTGGAATCAAATTGCAAATTCTGTTGCCACCCTCTAGTCTTCCACTCCACTTGCTCCACTCAACCACCCTCCAGATCTGGCAGTATGCAGCTGCTAATACGGATACTTTATTCTAATGCCTTCCCACTGGTGCGTTTTTTTCCTAGCTTTCTGTGGACCACCTCATGCCTGAAAAATTTGTCAGTAAGCTGAAGATTTAAGCAGATATGGGGCTTATGCTTCCTGTTTTCCCTTGCTTCCAGGGTATCTCTTAATTTTCAAGTGCTCTGTTGACTTTGGGCTGTGTACGCTGACACTTCAAACTTTCTGCTGACTGAACTGGGCATGGTTCAGGAATACAGCCAGTTATGAAAATTATCAAATTCAAAGATCTGATTCTGTGACACCCCATGTTTCAAGGATATATTTATCTCTGGTCTCTGGCTGATTTCCCATCATGCCTCCTGAGGGCTCCCCTATACTTAAGTTATTTAGCTTTCTGACAAATATGTGGACAGTTTATGTTCAGAAATTGGGTCTCCTTGCTTCTCATACTGTTCAGGATTTCTCCTATAAATTTTTAGTTGTTTTTCCAGTTTTGAACTTTGATCTCTGGCACATTTAGCCTGTTGCCAATTTAGACAGTTTTGCCCTGGGGGAGGATGACACACTCAAGTCAGGAAGCAACAGACTCAAACTTCTTACCCATTCCAGTTGTAGTTTTATGAGTTTAACTGTCTCCTAGCTTCTGGGGTCTTTTAAAATGCTTTCCACTGTCTTCATATAGTTGTTTTGTTTATTTTAAATGTTATTCAGTGTTATAGCTCTTAACTAGTGGATGTTCACATGACTATTTCACTCCCTTCCTTTCTGAGGTTCTACAATTATGCCTGGTAAAACCAAATCTGACAAGTCTTTCAAAATATTGATTTTAATTATTTGTGATACACCTTAATTTTGGTTAAAATATATTTTATCACATAAATCATCCTTACCATGTTCATCTTTCTTTGTATGACTATTATATGTCTTGGGTGTGATATCTTTTTTATAAATTTTGTCACTAACACGTTCTCTTCTAAATATAAAATCATAAAAATGACAATGTACCTGAAACAACCAATCACTGAAAATTTGTGTCTTGGATATCCTGTGTCAATATGCAACCAATGGTCCTGTACTAACCAAACTAAATGGGGTAGTAAAGTAAGGTAACTTATATCAATATAGGTATAACAGAAGTGTTGACCATAAAGAAGCCAAACTCTGTAAAATGTTTGAAGATATTTATTCTGAGCCAACTGTGAGGGCCATGACCCATGACACAGCCTCAAGAGATCCTGAGAACATGTGCCCAAGGTGGTGGGGTGACATCTTGGTTTTATACATTTTAGGGAAACATATCAATCAATACATGTGAAGTACACATGGGTTTGGACTGGAAAGGTGGGACATCTTTAAGCAGGGAGAGGGGAGTAATTTCAGATCATAGGTGAATTCAGAGATTTCCAAATTACCAAATGGTTAAGAGTTAAGTTTTGCCTAAAGTTGAAGTTAGCAGAAAGAAATTCTTGAGGTGACGATAAAGGGAGTTGTGCAAGCCAAGGTTCTTGTTATATAGAAACTTCCAGGTAGCAGGCTTCAAAGAGAACAGATAGTAAATGTATCTTATCAGACCTTAGAAGGTACCAGGCTCTTAGTTAATCTCTTCAGGATTGGGAGGGTCTGAAAGGGGGAGGATCTAGTTATCTTAATAGAGATTCTTTACATATGCAAAGAGCCATTTCAAAATATGGCAAAGGACTATATTCTAAGTAAAATATTCTGATTTTCTTCTTTATCTGTCATGTGATGTTATACTAGAGTCAGGTTGGAATTTGGCATCTTACTGCTACAAAAAGTCTGGTTTGTCAGTATTAAAATCTCTGTTTTAATGTTAATGTGGGTCAGTTGTGTCTAAAGTCTGAATCAGAGAGGGTATAATGAGGCATGTCTGATCCCTGCTTCCTTTCATGGCCTGAACTTGTTTTTCAGGTTTCTTGGGAATCCTCTTGGCTGAGATAGGGGTCCATTTAGTCAGTTTGGGGGCTTAGAGTTTTATTTCTGGTTTATAAAGGATTAATGAGACAATCTTGATTAAGAAAATATTCTGGAGTTAGAGGGCCAAAGTACTTACATATTGGCTTGTACAAGACGTTTTTCTATCTCTGATGTTATAAAAATGATCATTAGATCATAAGATCTCAGGAATAATACAGAGAAGGAGTTGTATTTATATTGGAGGTGCTTGCTGAGATTGAGTCCTGCTCTTACATAGGATAGTTACCAACTGGACTCAGGTTCACCCTCAAGCCACCTTTAAGACCAGAATGTGACAACCTCACTAACCTGGCCTCTACCATGTGTTACATCCAGTGAACACAGCAGCCTGCTTTGATCTTTTCCTGTGAAGTGTCTCATCCATAAGACCCTGCTGCAGGGCTAAAGGGGAGGGAGACAGGCTACATCTGGGACTTTTTTTTTTCTTATTCTGAGTGAAGTATAAATTGGCTTCTTGTTTTGTTTTAGGAGTTTAAATGTCAAGAGTGTTTAATTTGATCTGCTTTACATATGTTAAGAAGGAAATTAGGAAGTCTATTAAGGGCTGAGTGTCAAGAGTTTTCATTAGTGACTTGAGTGTATCTCAGTATCATTTTTTTAAATATTTGTAAGTTATTTTAGAGTTAAGAAATTTGTATTAATATGATAAAGTCAAAAAAAGATCAAATTGTAAGGATCCACAGCCTAAGGCACTACTGTCTTTGATCCTTTGAAAACACTTCAGCCAGGAGGAGGCTATCGGGCTTGGAAAGGAAATTAGGAAAATCAGAAAATGGTTAAATTGACTGAAGTTAAAAAAAGTTTATGGAGATATGGAAAAGAGATTTTTAGTGGTAACTGAATAAGGGGTATAAGTGACAAGAATCAATATTGGAGGAGCTGAGCTACAGTAAGGAAGGAGTTGTGAGGGAAGAGATTAGTGTGTTTCTGATTTTTATTTGCAAGGTAGAGAGAAGATAAGCAAACAGGGAAGTTGAGATTTGGGCAGCTTTGATGAGAAATGGGACTTTGAGGAAGAAGTATTTAGGTATTATACTACCTAATATACAATATAATTACCTACTCCAACTCTGAGTACCCCCAAAATACAGAATTTCTCTTTAGCTTCTTTAGAACAAACATCTTTTTTTTAATGCCACAACATGTTGCGATGACTTTTAAAGTCATGAAAAAAAAAGACTTAAAGCTGCACCTCTGATGAGCCAAGACTGCCACTTTCATCATGACAGTCAGGTTGCTGAATTTGACAGACAAGCCAGAGCAGGTACAAGTCATAATTGGATTACCCCAGTAAGATAAGAAGCAAACTATAAAAATTACTCTGACACTAGAAGAGTGCCTGATCTGTAACTGGATATATCAAATGGAATAGAGAGCCTTAGAACTATGTGAGATTGCCAGACTGTGAAAGTCTAAGAAAGCTCTCATGAGATTACAGGATAGAAATTAGTATTTAAGCCACATCTACACACACATAATTTATTGAAACATTTGAGTCTTTTCTATAAAAAAGAAGAGGTCTGTGGCAGGCACAATTGAATTGTTTTAGGGTCCTTTCCTGGACCCACAGGCTAAGATCTGATTCACTGGTGCTTGGAGACCTCAGAGGGCTGAAAAAATTCTTCCCTAAAGAAACTGGAGTAGTTTTCATAAATTAAATTCAAGGCTGGAAAAAGGAATGTGTTACTGAAATACTACAACAGTGACAATTCTAAGGTGCTGAAAATTAACAGAGATTAAAAGGGGTAATGATAGATAATGTAGGCTTTGCATTAAGAATAATTTCAGGATTCAGAGCTGTAGGCTTCCATATCCATGACTGAATGCCTGTTCGTCATAAAAAGAATGCAGAGCAAGACAGGGAGTTTACAGGATCAATTTATAAACATGTGTAAGAGAAGGGCAAGAAGTTTTCTGCACAGTGTTGAGATCCAGGGTCTTTAATAGCACATCACACAGTTGTACCAATGTATTAGATAATTCTCATGCTGCTATGAAGAAATACCTGAGATTGGGTAATTCAAAAAGAAAAGAGGTTTAACTGACTCACAGTTTTGCATGGCTGGGGGGTCCTCAAGAAACTTACAATCAGAGGGGAAGATACCTCTTTACTAGGTGGCAGGAGAGAGAGAGTGAGTGTCAGCAGGTGAGATGCCAGACATTTATAAAACAATCAGATCTCATGAGAATTCACCCGCTATCACAAGAACAACATGGGGGAAACCACCCCCATGATTCAATTACCTCCCACCAGTTCTCTTCCACGACACATGGGGATTATGGCGATTACAATTCAAGATGAGATTTGGGTGGGGACACAGCCAAACCATATCACCCAGAGGAGAGTTTGCAAAAGAGGAATGTCTGGATCAAGTCAGTACAAGATATATTTAAAGCCAAAAGTTTCCATTCAAACTTAAGACTTTTTTCCAGAATCGTAAGAGGCCACCTGTACCCTCAAGGCCAGTGAATGTAACTACAGAGGAGGAAAAGTAGGTTCCTGTGGCAGCCCTCAGGGATAAACGCAAATAGAAGGCTTCTGGATAGAGGTGTCAGGGCAGCCATGGGGGCCAGGAAAGCTGATATAGGAAAGAAAACATAAAAAGAAAGAATCCTTAAATGAACAGGTCCTCATGGACACGGATAGAAACATTTATTCACTTGCTATAAAGAGATTTTCAGAACCAACCTGGTGCCAGTGTATGGATTATGTCTCCTAACTTATATTCTATTCATAGGGATTGATGATTGATGGCGTCTCTGGCCATTTAGCACTACTAATTCCCTGAATCACATCAGAACCTAGATGTAGGAAAAGATACTTTAACAAACCTAAGTCATCTAAGAACTTTGGGAGGTAGCAACATCTATGTTTGTTTCACTTAATGGCAAGGTCAAACATTTGTTGGCATATAATACCTCAGAAAAAAAGTAATCAATGAAAACATCAATTATCCTCTCTGATTGCATAGAAACTGAGCACAATCAGTTTGAATCAGAAAGAACAAGGGCAAAAGCAACAGAAACACAAACGCACAAACCCAGTAGAAGGAATAGAACTTCAAAAGATTGAGATTTAGATGAAAAGGGATGCTGGGTGTCAAAGTATACATTATAGTCCTTTTTGATAAAGGGTAAATTATAACACAGTCAAAAACTTTATTAAAATGTAAGTCTTACACCTTTTCCCTCACCGTAACAACTTAGGAAATCTCTTTAGTTTCATACTGAGCTATTCAGCTCTAGGCCCTTTGTCGAGCTGGGCTGAACTGTGGAAAAGATAAAGATAGGGAGGTAGCAGGAGACATTAAGTTGAACTATACCGGAAAGGATATGGCAGTAACTGGAGAATACACCTGGAAAAAGGCAGAAAGGAGTAACCAGAGATTTCTGAAGGAGCTAGAGTTATATATTGAGTAGAGATTCATCATGGGTTGATTGGGAGAGGGATATTTTATTTTAGTTTTATTTATTTTCGCTTGGAGGACAGAAGGAAAACCATAATAGCAAATGAAGGTATTTCAGTTTCCATAAAGAGTAGAAATATGGGGAGATAGATATGACTCCTTCTCATCTTTCAATTCTCAAATGTGACCTGCCTTCACAGGTCTTTCCTGTTCATTCTGTCTAAAGAAACCACACCTCCCTCCAAGTACTCTCAGCCGTATCAATTGTTTATAAACTTCACAGTATTAGTTATCATAATCTATAATTAATCCTATTTATATATTTGCTTACTTATTGTCTGTCTTTCCCATGAAGATTTAAATTCCATAAAGTAAGAAGCCTTTTCTGTCTTGTTGACACTCTTCACAGCCATACTACAATTCTTATTTCACAGATTATATACAATAAATATTTCATAAATGAATGACCAATTGAAAAATTGACTGAATTAATTAGTGAATGGGTAGAAATTTTCTAAAAAATTCTGCTCTGTTATGTACAGTATAACCTTTTAAGTCTTGATTTGCTCCGATTACATTGGTATAAAGAAAACAAATAAATACAATCATGATTTACAATTAATCATACTCCTTCTATTTTGTAAGAAGAATCAGTCAACCCTCCAAGTTTAACAGAATAGGATAAAATCAAAGAGGAATACATCTACACTGACAAGACTGAGGATTACATATTACTGTCATTTTATAAAAGAAATAAATATGTACCTTAATTCATATTTGCTTTTTTGAAGAAAAGCTTTAGTTCCTTGATCAGCTTAGCAACTTGTTGCTCAGCAAAATTTCATCCCTTCAGATACAGTATGTAAGGGCATTTCGCAAATTAACCTTAGCCCATTGTCTCTATTATCATTAAAGGATGTAACTTATCCTCCCTATAGTCTTATACCTAACTCATATGTTAATCATTTTAATTGAGTTATTACCTTTGAATTCATGTAAGAAGGTCAACATTCTACTCTAATCACCTTTTCCACATAGAACTACATCTAAACAGAAAACTAAATACACATGATTGTACTTCCTTACTTTCTTATTTGTCAACTAATTTCATAATCCAATTAGGCAACCTTGCATCAAAGAACTTGAGTTTGTCTTTGAAGTAAATCCCTATTCCCTAGGATTGCCTATCACTGGTGTATTCTCAGTCATTACTTTGCTGATCTCTGACAACTCCCTTTCATATCCTTGACAAACAAAAATATCCATGATGATATTATGGCTTGCAAGCTTCCGATTATGAATTTATTTTACAGTCTTTCAAATGTATCTCCTTTCTTTATTCCAGTGTTAGTAACCAAGATCAAATCTTCAGTAAAATGTATCAGGACTACTGAAACACTATACTAATTGGTTTTCCTATTTCCAGGTCAGAAGCACTCAAACTATTCCAAGACCCTCTGGAGTGGAAGTCTCAAAACATTTTGGGTTGCTTGCTTCTTGGTAAAAAGAATCCAGTGTGTGTACTCACAACATATGTGCATTTATTTATTTATAAGTGATGTGCTTGTTTTATTTTACTAATGCATAATGTACATTTTTAAATATATAAAAAGAAACTTAAAAGGTGAAGTAAAAATAAATAGAAATTCCAATATTTTATTCCTGAAGCCCAGTGACTCATAGATGTCTGCCCCAGGATGGTGATTAGATGACTCAAAAGTCTGTAACTCCTTATATTTTATATGGGCACACACAGTATTCAAGTTATCTATGGCCTCTTAAGATCCAGTGACTATATCACACTGCCCCGATAGATTTTTCTAAAACATAGATCTTATATTGACACCTCCTTTCCAAAATTCTGCAACAGTTTGATAGATTACAGTCTCTCTTCTTTGGTTAGCAAACATAATTCTACAAAATCCAAGGCCAAATTTTGTAGTGTGAAATCTCCTAACAGGCTTGCCGACCAAATGGAAGACACCCTTTTCTCCAGCACACTGTTCACGCCACGCTTTTCTATTCTTTTGTGTCTACTTCTGTATGAAGCAAACTACCACTCATATTTAAGTAGTAATTCCAGCTACCATCTATTACTTAATTTGGGCTACACATGTTCATTATCTCATTAAGTACTCACAACATTGCAAGATAGGTATTTAAGTTTCAATTTAGAGAACAGACAGAAGAGTAAGCTATAAATCATAAATTGTATTTTACCAAATGTGACACATTTGTTGTTGTCGTTTTGTTTTTAGTTTTTGTTTTTGTTTGTGACAGGTCTTGCTCTTTCACCCAGGCTGGAGTGCAGTAAGTGACATGTTCACAGCTTACTGCAGCCTCAATCTCCTGGGCTCAAGCAATCCTCTTGCCTCAGCCTCCTGAGTAACTGAGACTACAGGCACACACCACTACACCCAGATATATTTTTTTATTTTTCATTTTTGGGGGGCAGCTATGTTGCCAAGGCTGATCTCGAACTTCTGGCCTCAAGCGATCCTCCCACTTCACCCTCTTGAAGTGCTGGGATTGCAGACATGAGCCACCATGCCCAGCCCAAATATTACATATTCGAATTCAAACCTAAGCCTGAGTAATTCAAACTTGAGTGTGTTACCACCACACTGACGTGCTTCCATACCTCAAGTTCCATCTCAATCGTAAAGCTTGTCTTGATACTCTAGCCCTACCCCCACTTCATTCCTCTCTAGGCAGCATAAGAAGTTATCTGTCCTGTTTTTTAATCTCTTTATTCATACTTATTTGAGTACTTTGTATGTGTGTCTGTGTCTTTTCTCCCACCTATTATAAACCACTAGAAATAAGTACTTTAAATTTTTCTGGCTTATCTATCTGGCATTTAACAAATATTCATAGATACTTTTAATAATATAATAAATTATTGTTTGATTGTGAATTGATTTACATTTTATTTTTAAACAATGGTCAGTGTCCTGATTTTCATATTTCTGTATCCAAGTTCTTATGACCAAGAGAAGCAGATGTTATCAATACTTGGGATCATTTCTCATCCAAAAGTAGTGACAGAGAATGAACTAAATATTTTCAAAAAACATTTAAAATCTACAAATTTCCTCAAAGTCAATGACAAAAGTAGAGAGTTGACATATGCTCTCATACTAATAATTCTGAAAATCTTCCTACTTCCAACATTTTACATGCTTTGGATAGATTGTAGAAAATGCATACCATAAATCATAGCAGAGGTTGTATTACTGTCTTACCTTTTTTTTTTTTTTTTTTTTTTTCAGACGGAGTCTCGCTCTGTCGCCTGGGCTGGAGTGCAGTGGTGCTATCTCGGCTCACTGCAAGCTCCGCCTCCTGGGTTCACACCATTCTCTTGCCTCAGCCTCCCAAGTAGCTGGGACTACAGGCGCCCGCCACCACGCCTGGCTAATTTTTTTGTATTTTTAGTAGAGATGGGGTTTTACCATGTTAGCCAGGATGGTCTCAATCTCCTGACCTCGTGATCTGCCCGCCTCGGCCTCCTGAAGTGCTGGGATGACAGGCTTGAGCCACCACGCCTGGCCTACTGTCGTACTTTTTTTAGGATTTTATTGGTTTATTTTATTTTAAGTTCCCGGGTACATGTGCAGGATGTGCAGGTTTGTTACACGGGTAAACACGTGCCATGGTGGTTTGCTGCACCTATCAACCCATCATCTAGGTATTAAGCCCAGCATGCATTAGCTATTTTTCCTGATGCTCTCCCTCCCCCAAGTCCCCCCACAACCAGGCCTAAATGTGTGTTGTTCCCCTTCCTGTGTCAATGAGTTCTCATTGTTCAGTTCCCACTCATAAGTGAGAACATGCGGTGTTTTAAGAATAGATAAACAGAAAAATCTGAATTGAAGCATATTCTGCAAAACAACTAACCTGGACTTTTTAAAAATATCAATGCCATGAAAGACACAAAACAGCTGGTAAACAATTCTAAATTAAAGTATACTAAAGAGAAATGGATAAATGTAATATGTGAGGGGAGGGAGCTACATTAATGAAACAATTAGTAAAAATTCCTAAATATCCTGAGGTCATCATTGAACTGTCTGATCAGTGATCTGAAATGTTTGTTCTTAGGTGAAATACACGTTAAAGTATGTTAGTTAATGAGTTTGGTAAGCTTCTGAAACTACTTTGTAAGTGGTTCTAAAAATAAGATAGGATAAATAGAAAAAAATGAGAGAAAGAAATAGTAAAGAAGGAAGGAAGGAAAGAAGAAAGGAAGGGAGGGGGGAAGGAGGAAGGCAACAAGGGAGAAATAAAGGAAAAAATGACATTTTTCGAGAAATATATAAAGCTAGTATGGTAAACTGTCAACAACTGATGAATCAAGGTAAGTGTACATGAGTTGTCACTGTACTATTATGGCAAATTTTATGTACGTGAAGATTTTTCAAAGTGAAACTGAAAGGATCAAAAGAGAAGGTGGTGTTAGTCATCCATATCACCCACAGGAGAAATTCAGTATTATAGTGTGCATTATGTGGTTTGAGCAGCATGGCCCCCCAGTGGGCTCTGTACGGTGAGTTAGCAGCAACATGCACTGGAAACTGAACAAAATCATCAGAGAGACAGGGTTATTTTATATTTAAGAGACAAACCTTGAAAAAGGTCCACCAAAATCAAACTTTTCTGACTTAGCATTGTTAATATTGAACTTAACTTTCCAACTGTAATTATTTAAGTTAATGGTTTTCTGCGCATATTACTGGTGTCCAATAATAAAGCAAAATCATTGGTGAAGAATGTGATGCTCATGCCATGTTTATGGCAGGAAAAACATGATTTAATTTTTTAAACTAGAAAATATTTAGTTTTTTTTTTAACTTTTTAAGTTCAGGGGTACATGTGCAGGTTTGTTACATAGGTAAACTTATGTCATGGGGATTTGTTGTACAGATTATTTCATCACCCAGATATTAAGCCTAGTGTCCATTAGTTGTTTTTCCTAATCCTCTCCTCCAACCTTTCCCTCCTCCAACCCTCCACCCTCTGAAAAGCCCCAGTGTGTGTTGTTCTCCTCCATGTGTCCATGCGGTTACATCATTTAGCTACCACTTCTAGGTGAGAACATGTAGCATTTGGTTTTCTGTTCCTGTGTTAGTTTGCTAAGGATAATAGCCTCCAGCTCCACCCATGTCCCTGGAAAGGGCATGATCTCATTCTTTTTATGGTTGCATAGTATTCTATGGTGTGCATGTACCATATTTTCTTTATCCAGTCTATCACTAATGGACATTTAGGTTGATTCCATATCTTTGCTATTGTGAACAGTGCTGCAATGAACATATGCATGCATACGTCTTTATAATAGAATTATTTATCCTTTGAGGAATTGCTGAGTCGAATGGTATTTCTGTCCTTAGGTCTCTGAGGAGTTGCTATATGTTAAATAAAAGGGATTGGAACAATTCAATTTTATACAAGATTCAAATGTAAGCTAACCTATTGGAAATATTTATTACTTACTTATTTAGAATTGCTTATTTTCTAGGCTTTGTAAAGAAAAAAAAATCCTGAAATCTATGCTGAAGTATTATAATTTGATCCATGCTGATTTTTGTACAATAACAAAAGCTAATAATAATTTAATAAACTTTCCATGCTTCTAGGATATTCTTGGCTATGGTTCCTCTAAATAGCAGACTTGAGTCCAAGAAGCCTACAACTTTCTTTTAAAAAATTATGCTTATTGATATGACCTTGAAAAAAAAAAAACTAACAGAATTAATCTTAACACAAGCTGGATTACACCTGGAGCCAAACTGATAAAACAACTGAGTAATATGGAGTGACTACAATGGATTAATGTTAATATGTTACTATCAGTGCATAATATCTAGGGCACATACTGTATGTACAGTATTTGGTTGTTCTAGCTTTGAGAGTAAAGCCTCCTTGAGAGTGAATAATCCACTGGTATATCATTAACATCTTTAACATCAGCTTGCTTATAGAGTTAGACATCTCCTTATTCTACCTTAGCTTCTTAAAATTCTGATTCAGTACAAATAGACTCTAGATAGCTATACCAAAGAAAAGAAATTAGAAAAGTTATATCTTTCACCAGAATCTAAATCATACATTTAATAAGCACAACTTGTACTAATAGGTAAGTAGCCAATAACACTGCCACCACTGCTTGAGGGAAAATTCAAATTCAGTCTAGACTGGTCCCACAGGTGATTAGCTAACAATATTAAGTGTGCTTATGGGTAAATTTAGTTACAAGTTTTACTCTATAATCTTGGAAACTATTTCTAGAGAAACATTCCATGAGAAATCTATCTTCCAATGATCTTCTAATGATAAAATTCTAGCAAAATATTGTAAATTGTGTCAGTTGAAACCACCTTAAAATAAATGACAAGACAAAGAATCTATTACATTTTTTCAGGATAATGGTTAAGACTAGTGTGGTCCTATAAAATATCTGAATCATCAGCAACACAAATATTATTTTATTATATATGCCTTAAAATTGTGAAACTATTTTTCTAAGATTACAAGTTAAATAGCTTTTTTGACTTCTAATAAAATTTGTATTATCCCCAGTTTAAAAAAAAGGCTTAAATTGAAAAATAATAGGATATTTATTTTGCAACATGCAGTTTTCTTAAAGATAAACATTCAACTGAAGGAAGAGGCCAAAAATACAAGGTTCTTTTTTTTTTCATTGCCATACCTATCAGCAATAAATCACCAGAAAAAAAAAATCTTCACATAAACGTGTATCTCAGCAGCCTACATGGCAAGATAATAAATAGCTATTTACTTACCTTTCAAAATTTGGAGTTTGTTGACCCCAAAAACATACCAATGAAATTACATTTGAATAATTAATTTTAGTAATCATGTGGCAATGCAGTGTAATCAGGATGAACTGATACTAATTTCAATTTTTTAGCAAAAAGGCTACAGGCTTCAGATCCAGACCCACTTGGACTGAAATCATGTCTACTAGCTTTGCAACTTGTAGTGACCTGGTCCCCTCCTGCTTCCGCATATCTTAGAGCTAACAGTGACAAGGATATTTTCACAACTCCCTAATGATGTAGGGGACTATAGCTGAGCTACAGCACACTTCTTCTGAGTAATGTGAGGACATAAAGAGATTTGATAAGACCTCATGCTCAGAAAATCTTTATGAAACTCTGCCCTGCTGAAAGTTAATTCAGCTTGATTATGCTCATTCTGGGACAGTACACTTGGCCTATTAATTTTTAGGTATACAAATAGTATTTTTCAGATATATAAAAGAACAAAGGAAGCTGTATTCATGATGTAGTGTAAGGAGCCAGAGAAGTTTTCCATTTCTCCTTCATTTTTAAATAAGCATGTGCAAGGCTGACTTCTCCATAATGAGATTAGTTTGAGAAATTGTTAAATGTTCTCATTTTCCTGCCAAAGAGCCCTCAGAAATTCACAGCTCATTAGAACCTTCAGAGTAGTTAATAAACAAAGCTTGATATTATTACCTAATTAAAATATATCTCATTTCAACATTTTATTGCTCACTATTAAGATTCTTCTGCTACAGAGGTTACATAAAAAATATTCTTCTTCTTTCTTTTAATTGCAAGTTTCACAGAGTAGTTCTTTTATACCAAAATACATAGAAATTACAGAAGGAAAGTCATGTCACCCAATCTAAGTTCATTTAAATAAGCTCTGAAACGATATTCTGAAAGCAAGTTTATCTAGGAAATCGACATCAGCATTTCTACTTTAATAGTTGTTTCCATCATATGCTACTGAGTCACAAATACCAATAAGAATTTAAATTTAAAATCCATCTATTAGGGCATTTTCTATATCCTTATAAATCTTTCACTAAAATATCTTGACATAGTGGAAGGAGCATTAGAAGGGGGACCTAGATGCTAGTCCTCATTCTGTCAGCTTCTACTAGTGCAACTCAGGAAAATCTACTCATTTACTTTGTAGCCCATTTTCTCTCTTTTAAAAAGTGGTTACAACAATACCTGCCTTGAACACCTCACATGATACTTACAAGGATAAAATGGATTGAACTCATATAAAATTTAATACAATTTTTTTATTTTACAGGCATTTCTTCTCATGGCTGTAAAGTGGTATAATGGGCCCTACTAGGACCCCTAGGAGAAAAGGTCCTAGTGTTTAAGTGAGAGTACATGCTTCAGGGAGGTCAAATAAGTGAAAACAGAAAAGTGTTTATTGAATTTGGTAAGTTTTTACCTTTATAAAAGAAGTTCAGTCTCAAGAATTAAAGTGGAGAGAGAGTCTATGAGCAAATATTCACCATGAATATATGAAAGTGATCTGGACAAGCCAAGTTATAGGATGGATGCTCTAATAGCATAAACATCAAAATAGAAAAAACTCTTCCATTAGAATGCAGGAGGGGGGAAGCATTGGGGAGCAAAGAGAATACTGCTCTTACTTCCAAGATGCATACACGTATGTTAGTAGAGACTACATGAGCAGCCTCAACGCGGGATTGCTCTAGGAGGTGTGTTATAGGTTCCATTTGAAGCAAAGAGGAGGAAAAAGAAGGATTTTCTCAACAGCCTAAGAATAGCGTAGAGATTATTTCTAATGAAAGGAAGAGATGAATGGGCAAATGAATTGGGGGAGAGGAAATAGTGGGTATAAGAGAGAAAAATAGATAACCTGAGTTTTGAGTACTGGTAATAAACAGTGGGCCGAAACAGTCTCAGAATTCTGAAGTGGATACTGTAGCTTTGAGGCTGTGACTGTGAGGCTGCAGATGCTTTCAGAGGCTTCGTGTTAAGAGAAGCCAGAAGCCCTGAAAGGGGAGTCCTTAATGACCCACACAGGATGAGGACCCATGTACTGCTGGGAATGTGTGAAACATGCACACAATTCTGACTCTGAGTTCCTCATTAAATATTAGTCAAAGGTTAAAAGGGTGCCCCTGAAGAACGCCAGTCAAAGGGATAGGGAATGTAGGATCAAGTTTTCTCAACACTCTAACAAAGTGGGCGACGTAGAAGTACTCAGTAGTCAAAAGAAGCCTGGCCTCCCAGTGGGTTAGCTGTGACCCAGAATTATGGAAATTTCTGCTTAGAAGAGCATATTGACCTGAGAAGATCATGGCTGATTTGTTTTTAAATATTGACATTTAATTATTTAAAGATTTTCTGACTTTTCAGTTCTAACAGTGCTCTTCTATAAATAGATAAAAGTGACAAAAGGAAAAAAGTACGAATATAAAATCATAAATTTCTTAGACTATTCATACTCTTTTCATAAGTTGAAACTCATCTTTAAACCAAGGCTTTATGTTATTGTTTTTTTTTACAAGTCCATGATAATATGATATTTGCCTAGAGCAATGTTCTCAATCCTGGGCAGGGAGTTTATATCAGAATTGCCTAGGGAGCTTTTTAAAATTACATCTTTTTTCTCTATCCTGAAAGTGTATTAAAATGGTACATGTCTGGTGGTGGGTGGGGGAAGACATTGCTAATGAGGAGCCTAGATTAAGCAGGCCATTGAAATTTATGTTGAAGAAATTCTCTGGGTGATTCTAATAATCTCCATCCTCATTCTCACCCCATCCCACCCCTAAAAACCACTAGCCTAAATGAAGTCAAATTCCTAAATGACAACCTTGCTCAAAGTCGGGGAAATCTGTGTAGTTAATGCAACCAGCAGAACACTAAGATTGCAGTTAGGAAAACCTACCCATGTCATAGTTCCAATTTCATAACTATTAGCCATACAATCCCAAACAAGTCATTTTTTGCATGTATAGCTTCATGGTACTCGGCTTTAAATTGATTGTTTTTAAGTAAACATTCTTTAAGATTCAACGATAGCATGAGATGGTTCCCTTTACTATTTTTTTCACCAATGATTTCATGTAAGTTCCTTCAGATAATCTCTGCGAAACTTGGTGATTTCTTCAGAACAAAAAATGATAATGTAAAGGACCTTTCTACAAAATAGCTCAAAACTTTCTCAAATATTAAGTAATTATGAGGAAATTTTTATTTAAGGGAGAAGCCAAACAACCCTGAATAATTTCCGAAGTGAAATCAACATCTGGGGCTCAAAGTCATGATTCTGCTTATTGAGCCTTAGATTATCTACCTGAAATTTGCACCCATGATTAAACCGGTACCGGAGTAATTCACATAATACCCTCTGCTTTTTTTTTTTTTTTTTTTAACATTTAAGTAGCCTTCAATTTTTCATGCAAAAGGGAAAGAGAAAATGTGTGAATAATCTAGAATCCTAATTATAACTACTAGCTCTATCTTCCTCCACTTAAAATGTATTGCTAAAAAGTAAAAGACTGCTCTGATCCTTGTTCTCTGTTCAAAATGCTAATGAAAGGTGAGGGTGTGATACACACAGGAGGAAGAAAAGGAATAAGGAATCAAATTCCACATAACAGTGTGTCTTAAGGACCTTCTTTTCTTTTCTTTTCTTTATTTTCTTCTTTTTTTGACATAGTATTGCTCTGTCACCCAGGCTGAAGTGCAATGGCACAATAATAGCTTGCTGCAGCCTCGATTTCTCCATCTCAAGCCATCCTCCCACCTCAGCCCCGTAAGTAGCTAGGACTACAGGCATACACCTCCACACCTGGCTAATTTTTTAAATTTTTTGTAGAGATGGGGTCTCATTATGTTGCCTAGGCTAGTCTCAAACTCTAGAGCTCAAACAATCCTTCCACTTAACCTCCCAAAGTGTTGGAATTACAGGCGTGAGCCACCATAACCAACTTAAAGACCTATTTTTACAACTGAAATTTAATGAATACGTGGTGTGCAAAATGTTTTCATTTGAATGAACCACAAAAGAAGTTTGTGTTTACTTTGATATCTGGAAACTAAAGTACACACTCTTAAAATGGGCAGTAATTCTAAATTCTACCTCAGGTACCTTACTACATGGTCAGAAACTATAGACTTACAGTCATTCAAAATATCTTTAGAACATCTATAACATTGTCTGCCAATTAAAAGACAAACTAAGATATACATTTGGCAATAGAGTGAAGCTTTAAAAAAATCTATTTTTTAATATTTTAAAAAACATTGAAGACTCTACTAAAACATGTCTATTTATATGGTTACTATTCTTAGACGTGAAAAAGAATAAATTTGAAACTGTATATTCATATTTGTATATATTAATATGTATACACACAGATACATTCTACATAAGAGAAAGCAACCATATATACTGTTTTATGTGTGGTTGAAGCTCCCAGGTGAAGGTGGTCTGAGGAGGATCAGAGATCCAGTACAGAACAACATGCCTCTAGTCAAATACTTGAAGGGAGAAGCTCTCAGGTATATCAGAGACATTGTTCTGTATGGCCTGAGAAATAAACCAATGAATGTGTTATACCTATGAGGAAATAAATTTTGACTCAAAAAATTATTTTAATTACAGAAATTAGAGCTCATCAAATGTGAAAAAATGGAATAGGACTGATTTCAAATTATTCTTACTTCTCTACCTATAAGGTTTGTGCTCGGTTTGAATTAATTTTATGATTAACAAAAAATAAATTTTTAAATAAATGTAATAATGGAATGAACTATCATGAAAAATGTTTCCTACTACCATCAGGATTTTACATAATAGGCTGAATGACTAATTGTAAAAAATCTGTAAAAGAAAAATGATTCTTGCTTGTCAAGAGGTAAGGTAAAAATGATTCTTGTTTGTCAGCTGGCCATCCTGCTTTGTCTGCCACTATGCTGATTTTAGCTCTGAAAGTTCCACATCCTTAGAAATCCCTCAGTCCTGGAAAAGCTCGAATTGTTGGCCACCCTACTTGAGTACATGGTTGAACTAGACAGCTAAAAGGCAATGGTCACATACAAATGAAGCTGGCCATGCCAGCTGTCACATAAGAACTGCCAACCAAAGTAGATGCAAAGAGTCATTACTGCCAAAAATTCCTGCTGTGCGGCAGCTAGGGGCCTGAAGGAATCAGAGAGCACTCCCCACACTGTAGCATTTGCCTTTAGATTTTACTGCTGCTTTTTTCCAGACAATTCAGTTCTGTTCAGCATTAATTGACATGGTCTATGAATTTAATCAAGACATTTCCCTGCTAAATCCCTCCAATGACTTCCCATTGCCCTTTGTATACAGTCCAATATCATTAGTAAGGCATCCAAGAAAGGCCTTCTATCATCTGGTCCCTGATTTCCTTTCCAGTCTCACCCACTGTCACATTGTTAGTTTGCTGTAATCCAGTAACCTTGATTATCTCTCCTTTCATCTGATATACTGCACCTTGTTATTCAGCATCTTTAATGATGCTATGTGGCCTCCACCCCCGATCTTTTGGCCTAGATAACTCCTTCCAGTTCTTCCTGTTGGCTCCACTTCATGGACATATCTCCTGACCTGTTCAAACCATAACAATAGTAAGTTCCCCTTTTCTGCTTACCTAGTATCTTGTTCATTCTCTTCGTAACATTTTGTTTTAATGGTAATAATTTTTCATATTAAATATATTTTAATTGTGTGTCTCCTTCGTTATACAGAAGAGTCTATGAAGGCGGGGATAATGTCTGTCTTATTCTTTGCTATATTCTGAGCACAAGCTGGGATGTTGAACCAACATGGTCACTATATTGTGGAGCTCAAGCTATACAGTGGTTGATCTAACATCACATGATACTAGAGCCAATTCAAAAAATCCAAGACATGTGGTTACTGAAGCTATGCGAAGCCTGTGATTTAGAATTAATAATTCTAACTCCTACTGCAACAAAATAAGATGTATTCCTGAAATCCCAGCCAAAATTCTTAATGCATATTCCCGGTGAGGTGGTGGTAATTAAGTGTCATAAGATTTAGTACTCTACTTCCTTTGGAAGTAACTTCTATTTGTTGGTCTGGGAACTCAACCACTCCTTTAATTATTGCATTCCCCAAGTCCCCTTCAATAAATACACAAAAGAACTTTGGGAGAATAACTCATCTGTAATTTGGAAATTGTCTATATAGTGTCCTCTGAATTCATCATGATTTATTATTTAATGTCATTATATAAGCATAAATTATTCCAATTTAAAGTAGAGGTCATTTGAAATATTTTTATGGTTATTAAGACTAGCAACAAATATCTCATTCTAAAAAGTGTAAGAAGCCAAATTGACTTCCTGTAAAATTCTATTTATAAGCTTTGAATGTTTAAAATTTTATGGTTTCAAATGTTTATGAAGTTGTTTCAAAATTTTTTTGCCTTAAACCATTTTTTCAATTTACTGATGATGTAGTTTATTAAAAACCCAATAATTGAATTTCACCAGAAGAGACTGTGAAATACTACAGTATATTTATTGTGAAGGCATAAAATAGTTTAAGTCCTTTCAGATAATACTGCCATATAGAAAATTATTTTTTATTATTGGAGAGTCTTAAAGTTATTTTTTTAAATGTGGTTATTAGGTCAAATATGACCATGGGAAATTCTGCATCTAATAAAGGCTTTAAAACCACATTTACTTAATAGAGATAAAGAATTTTACCTACTGAATTACACAGTCTCTAGTACTTGTTTGCACTTTTATTAATAAGCTATGCACTATGAGAACATTTTGTTGAAAGAAAAACAATACTGGATTATCTAAACAACCTTAACACAAATATGAATTTAAAGTCTCTTTTCAGGCCAGGCACGGTAGGTAGCTCATGCCTATAATCCCAGCACTTTGGGAGGCCGAAACAGGGATCACTGAAGGTCGGGAGTTTGAAACCAGCCTGGCCAACATGGTGAAACACTGACTCTACTAAAAACACAAAAGAAAAAAACAATTACCTGGGCCTGGTGGCATGTGTGTAATCTCAGCTACTCAGGAGGTGAGACAGGAGAATTGCTTGAACCTGGGAGGCAGAGGTTGCAGTGAGCTGAGATGGTGCCACTGCACTCTAGCCTGGGTGACAGAGCAAGACTCTGTCTCAAAAAAAATAAATAAACAAATAAAAAATAAAGTTTCTTTTCATAAAAAGTTAGTTCAAATTTTAGCCACATTTTTCTTCACTACCACTATATTATGTAATGTGGCTATCATTTTATAAATAAAAATGTATTAGGCCATCATAGTCATTTACTTGCCATAGGGACAAAAAAGAGAGAGAATCTATGACCCCACAAAGCTTACAGAATGAAATAAAATTACAGAAATGTCAACATATTAGATATTTGAGATTTGTTCTAAGGAGTTCTTGAGTACAAATAAGTAACCCAGCTATTTACCATAGCCTGAGGAAAGGGCAATTTCAGACCATTAAATACTTTCCACAGCTCAACCCAAATACAAACCTATCCCAGCAATGTCTGAGAATCCCAAACTGCTTTTCTCATATACTTCCCAAGATCCTAGAAAAGCCCTGACAAGAGCTTTTCTCCAAGTTCCACATCACCCTCCTAGCAGTGCAAAATGGAATTCAACTAGGAAGGGAAAGCTTTTGGCCTTCCTTTGTCTATCACTGTGCCTCTCCTCCCACTCATATTTTGTTGTCCATTCATACACTCACTTCTTCTACCAGACATTTATTCAGCAAACATGTACCTATTGTTTCCAAGGCAGCTTATAAGCATTGAAGACATAAGATAACACATGCTGTTTGTCCTTGGAGAACTTTCAATATAAAAGGGTCCACGGATAGGAAAGAGATAATTGCACCATATGAAAAGTGTTAAGACAGACTGTGGACAAGTGCCTAGCAAAGCAGAGAATGAGGTCCCCTCAGTCAAATTCAGGGAATTAGAGGATTTCTTAGGGGCTGTGATACTTTTACAGGGTTTTGAAAAATGAGTAGAAATTAAACAGAGGAAAATGAGGACAAAGGTGTTCTATGAATAGGAGTTAATATACACAACATCCAGGAGAAACAAAAGAGCATGCTGCTTTCAGAAAAATTTAAGTATTTGTTTATGTTAAGAGCAATGAAAATTTGGGGAAGACCGGTAGGAGACAAAACTAAAGAGACAGCAGGAGATTACAACGGGCCTGCATGCCAGGCTAAGGCATCTAAATATTACGATAAAAACTATGAAAATCAATTGGTTTTAAGCAGAGGAATGGCACAATCACAGTTAATTTTTGGAAAGATTACTCTGACAGCAGTGTGGAGAATGAACTAGAAGAGCTCCAAATAAACATTAGGAGACCTGTTAAGACAATTCTGCTATAATCCAGGCAAAAATAACAACAATCACAGTAACTAACATTTATGAAGCACACATTATATGCTGGATTCTATTCTTAATGATTTTATATGCATTAGCTTACTCAGTTCCACTACCACCCTACAAGTCAGGTCGTGTTCTTATTTTTACTTTAAATATTAGTCAACTTAAAAAAGTTCTTATCTTTACTTTAAATATTAGTCAACTTAAAAAAGATAAGTAACTTGTCAAGGCCCACATAATTAGTAAGCAGCTGAACTATGATTTGAACTTAGGTCTATCTAGCCTGGAATTTCATCACCATGCTCTAGGAATTAGTATCTGACCTTGAGGACTTGAGGAGTGAGACTAGAAATGTAATAAAAAAAAATATAGAAATATGAAAGATATATATGAATATGCATAATATATGAAACATATATGAATATATATGAAAGATATATATGTGAATATATATAATGTATGAAAGATACATGAATATATATGAAATATATAATGAAAAGATTTCTATAAAAGATATACAGATATATAATGAAAATATTTTATTACATATATGTAATGAAAGATATAGAAAGAAAGAGAGACAGAGGAAGAGAGATTGTTATATTATGAATAATTTAAATTCAGCTTAAATTTTGTAGCCCTGGAATGATTAAATATATCACAAAAATCAGTGAAATAGACTCCTCAGAAGCCTACTTACACGAAAAAATTGAGGAAATTCCTTAGAAAAAAAAGAGCCCACTTTGGAAATACAGAAATTCAAGGTGTAACTATGGCTGAAAGTGAACAAATCCAACACAGTAAGTGCTAATTGATTGGGAAACCAATTAGGTATTATTGATTGTTTATCTATTACTTAACTTTTCCTCTGGTCTATCCCTTAAGGATACATAGGGAAGCAATGTATCCTCCTCTCTTTCTTCATAGGACATACAAGTGCCAGGTATCCATCCCCTGGCTCCAGTGCAGTGCTGTGAGCAGAAGCATAGATGAGATAAGGGGTGGTGGTACAAATTCGCAGGAAGTGTGCTGGCCATAATGCCTGTGGGAGATGGCAGAAGATTATCAACGTCAGTAATAGGCAGTTATTCCCCAGCTAGAGGAAGATTATTTGGGCTCTGTCCAATTAGTTAGTGTAACATATTACAAAGTGAATCCAACAGAATAATCCCTAGGAACTGTAATCTCCTCATGCCTGGACCAACTGGTGAGTATAAAGGTGAGGAGAAAAGTTCATTTAGGCTCTAAAACTGTGTCTGATCTCTCAGGAAACCTAGCACGGACTGGTGCATAAAATGATTGGAAAATAATGACTGACAGCCTAGCCTGAGCAGCTAAGTCATCCCATATGTATAGGATGCAAGACATGGATAGTATCTTCTGCACATGCTACTTCTTCAAGTAAGTTCTCAGTGGTGAGTGGAGGTCTCACTGCTGGCTACAAGAGGTGTAGGTGATGTAAGTCAAAACTCTCCCTCCTGGAAATAATCTGTCATTACCAGTTGTGGGAGGTACATGAAATACTGCCAGGGTATTGATTTCCTTCTACTTCCCTAGTGTACCAGAAGGTGCCCCACATCTGTAGCCTGTCTCTGTGTCTGAGAGTCTGTCCCAGAAGAAATGGTGGAGCGGCCCAAGTCAAAAAACTTTTATATTTCTATTATTCCAAGTTGGGATTCTCAGGTATGGCACATAAAGAAATTTCAAGTATTTTACTAGAAAAAAAAATATAGCAGAGGTTCAACCTTAAGCCTAAGTTCTGTTTGTCCTAGGATTCAGCTGTATCTGGGCTTATTTGAAAGATAGGTTCTCCTAAGTCTGTCAAAGGTCTAATTAAATAAATAATCAGGAAACATTTTAACGAGAATTAATAACTTGAAAGACTTTGCTTATACAGCAATCATCAGGCATGCAGTGGCAATAATGAACTTTAACAGCAATCATGGTATCTCTAGTGTCCTAGACACCAAGCACCAGCATTCTTAGTACATTTTGTTTTGGGTTTCCACCATCTTAATGCAAATAACATGAACATCAGAAGTAGTAGAACATCAGAACATCAGTAGTAGGACATCAGAAGTAGAACATTTTTATAAGGCAGTAGCAGTGGCTCTGGGGGACTTCTGTAATATGATATTGCTGGCATAATTTACTATTAATGTCAGAAGCAATTGAAGATATAAGGAAAAGACGCCAGCTGACATCAGCAAAATAGCCACTATGGTTTGAATGTTTGTCCTCTCCCAAACTCACCTGAAATTTAATTGCCATTTGTAACAGTATTAAAAGGTAGTACCTTTAAGAGGTGATCAGGCCATGAGGCTTGGCCCTCATAAGTGGATTAATGCCATTATTGCATGGAGTGGATTTATTATCATGGGAATGGCTTTCTTATAAAAGAATGAATTCAGTCCCCTTTTATCTCTCTCTCTCTCTCTCTCACTTTGCCCTTTTGTCATGATGCTTTATGCCATGTTATGATGGAGCAAGAAGGCACTCACCTGATGCTGGCACCTTGATATTGGACTTACTGACCTCCAGAACTGTGGGACAAAAAAAATTCTGTTCATTATAAATCATCCAGTCTGTGGCATTCTGTTATAACAGCTCAAAATATACTAAGGCAACGATGGAACAGAAGTTTTCAGCTCCTATCCTCTCTTGGAAACATCAATTTAAAACAACTATTCATGCAAAAAAAATGCTTTTATAAGAGCTAAAGAATCCAGATGAGAAATTACAGCATCTGGATGGAAGACAGAAATTTTTAAAAATGAAGAATTGAAGAAGGTAGCAAGGATAGCTTTTCATTACCTATGTCACTCCTCCCCTAAGCCTGGGAAACAGAGAGGGAGGAGAGATACACTCTGTAGAGGGAAGGAGGGAGTAGAGTGAGCACACAACTTTGCCTCAGACCCTAGCACCAGACTTGCCCCAGTGGATCCTGGTGCAAGGCTGGCCTCTGTGGCCCCAGGTTCCAGGCTGGCCCCTGTGGACACAGAATCTAGGCCTGCCCTAGCATCGGGCCAACCCACAAGCCCAGCCTTTAAGCCAACCACAGGATAAGGCAGGCTCAAATGGAACCAGGCTCTAAGCCCACCCCATGGACCCAGGATCCACATGTTCCCCCATTGACCCAGATGCCAGGCCCACCCCAGTGAATGCCAGGACCAGGTCAACTGCCACAGACTCAGGACCAGATCCATTTCCAAAGACCCAGAATCCAGGTTCACCCCAACCCCAGGCTGGCAGCCCTAGACTGGGGTTCAAAGCCCACCTATGTGTCAGGTTGGCCCATGTGGACCCAGGCTTCAGGCCTGCTCTCACAGACCCACACACACGAACAACTGATCCGAGGACTACACTGGATGCCCTGCCTAGAATATCTAAGCAGATTGAGTGCTGAAGTGCTTTTCCTGTTAAAGCCAGTATGTAAAGACTGGAAGAGGTGTCTACTTCGAAAGGGCAATTCAAGGATCAAAAATAATCAGGGAAATATGACACCACCAAAGGAACAAAATAAAGCATCAATAACCAATCCCAAAGAAATGAAGATCTACAAATTGCCTGCCAAAGAAATTCAAAATTATTTTCTCAGTGAGCTACAAAAGATAGACAACTAAATAAAATCAGGAAATAAATAAATGAACAAATGAGAAGTTCAAAACAGAAACAGAAACCATTAAGAAGAACCTAACAGAAATTCTGGTGCTAAAGAATACATTGACAGCACTGAAAAATTCCACAGAGGGCTTCGACAGCAGATTCAATTAAACAGAAGAAAGAATCAGCAAGCTCAAATACAGGTTATTTAATGTACCCAGTCAGAGGAACAAAAATAAAAATGAGTGAAAAACATTGAAGAAAGGCTTATGGCTTTGAGACACCATCAAGAAAACTAGCACATGGATTATGGAAATTTCAGAAGGAACAGTGAAGGAGAAAGGCACAGAGAGCTTACTTAAAGACATAATGTCATCTTCCCAAATCTAGAGAGGAAACTGAACTCCTAGATCCATGAAGCCCAAAGAACCCCAAATAGACTGAATGTGTGAAGATCTTTATCAAAAAAAATTGTAATAAAATTCTTGGAAATCAAAGAAAAATAATTTTAAAAGCAGCAAGAGAAAAGCAATTCATCACATAAAAGGGAACTCAGCAGAAACCTTGTACACTAGGAGAGAGTGGGATAATATATCCAAAGTGCTGAAAGAAAAAAAATGGCCAATAAAAATTTATACCCAGTGAGTCTGATTTTCAGAAATACACAAGAAATAAGGACTTTTCCAGATAAACCAGAACCTGAGATAGTTTATTACCCCTAGACCTGCCTTACAGGAAACCTTAAAAGGAGTTTTATAAGTCCATACTACTACGATACTAAGACACTACTACTGGATCATATCATAGCTCTATTCTATTGTTTTCCAGAATCTACATACTGTTTCCCATAATGGTTGCAACAATTTACATTATCACCAATAGTATGCCAGTGTTCACTTCTCTCCACTTCCTTGCCAACAATTATCTTTCATCTTTTTGATAGTAGTCATTCTAACACATGTGAGGTGATAACTCACTGTAATTTTTAATTGCATTCCATGCTGATTAGTGATGTTAAGCATTTTTTCATATATCTGTTGGCTATTCTATATAATGTCTTTTGAGACGTGTCTATTTAGGTCCTTTCCCCATTTTAAAAAACTGGGTTTTTTGTTTTTTTTTTTTTTTGCTATCGAGTTTCTTAATATATTTTAGACGTTAACTCCTTATCCAATGATACTAAGCCCAGTCAGTGTAATCCCTACATAAATTCCAGTGCCTTTATTCACAGAAATAGAAAAATGACTCTAAAACTTATATAGAACCATAAAAGATCCCAAATGCAAACGTGAGCAAGTAGAACATAGCTGAGTGCATCACACTACTTGATTTCAAACTATCCTACAAAGCTATAGTGATCAAAAAAGTATGGTATTGGCATAAAAAATGACCTACAGACCAATGAAACATAACAGAACCCAGAAATAAGTCCATGCATTTATGGTAAATTTATCTTCAACAAAGTTGCCAAGGATATACAATGCAGAAAGGATAGTCTCTTCTATAAGTGTTGTTGGGAAAACCGGATCTTGTCCCTTGGAAGGATGATTTTCAATCATTATCTCACACTATATGCAAAAATCAACTCAAAATGAATCAAAGACCTGAAACTATAAATCTGCTAAAAAGAAAACAGCGTGAAAAACTATGCTACTTAATATGTGCAATGATTTTTTTGAATATGACTTCAAAAACACAGGCAACATAAGCAAAAATAGGCAAATAGGATAGCATCAAACTAAAAAGTTTTTGCATGGCAAAGGAGACAATAGAGTGAAAAAATGGCCTATAGAGTGGGAAAAAATATTTGCAAGATGTTAACATCTAAAATATATTAAGAAGCTCAACTCAATAGCAAGAAAACAAATAACCCAGTTTTTTAAATGGGCAAAGGACCTAAATAGATATTCTCAAAAGACATTATACAGAATAGTCAACAGATATATGGAAAAAAATGCTAACGTCACTAATCAGCACGGAATGCAAATCAAAAGCACAATGAGTTATCAGCTGACACCTGTTAAAATGACTACTATCAAAAAGATGAACAATAACTGTCGGCAAGGAAGTGGAGAAAAGGGAGCACTGGCATAACTATTAGTGGTAAGGTAAATTGGTACAACCATTATGGGAAAGAGTATATAGGTTCTTCAAAAAATTAAAATGGAGCTATGGTGTGATCCAGTAATCCCATTTTTAAGTATATATCCAAAGAAAATAACATTGGTATATTGAAGAGATATCTGCACTCACATGTGCATTGTAGCGTTCTTCACAATAGCCAAAATATGACATCAGCCTGTGTCCATTGACAGATGAATTTGGATAACAACATTATCCAGCCTTAAAGATAGAAGAAATCTTTTCATTTGCGACAATATGGATAAATCTGGAGGACCTTATGCTAAGAGAAATAAGCTAGGCACAAAAAGACAAACATCACATGATCCCACTTATATGTGGAATGTAAAAATCAAATTCATAAAAGCAGAGAGTAGAATGGTGTTTGCCAGGGGCTGGTGGGTGTGGGGATTGGAGAAATGTTGGTCAAAGGGTAGAAAGTTTCAGTTTTTCAGGATGAGTTAGTGCTGGAGATGTAATATAAATCATAGTGACTGTACTTAATAATACTGCATTGTATACTTGGAATTTCCTAAGGGAGTAGATCTTAAATGTTCTCAGCACACACACAAAAAAAAAACAACAACAAACAGTAACTACCTGAGATGATGGATATCTTAGTTAGCTTGTGGTAATCATTTAACAATGTAAATCAAAACATCATTTTATACCATGTAAATATATATAATTTTCATTTATCTATTAAACCTCAATTGCACTGAGGGGAATAAGAAGCTAATAACAGATTGATCTCAAAGGAGTGTCAAGTTCTTGAAATAACTGTGAGACACTCACTGGAAATACCAGGAAAAGTTCAGGAAGAACTTGAAGGAAACCAGAAATTTCCAAGATTAAATAGGTCCAGTGTCAAAGAAATAGTGTTTTATGATTTACTGTGTAGCCTTGAAAGGAGAAAATAACTGTTGGATAATTGTCTGAAATGACTCCAACTTTTTGACTTAGGTTGTAGGTAGATGGTGATGCTAGTCACCAAGGCAAAACACCTAATACAAAGGACAAATTTTGGGCAGGATAAGGAGGTATGGCTAGTTTGGGAGATGATAAACTTAGCTTTTAATTTGAGCACTGCACATTGTACAAATAGAGAATGTTCATTATGTAGCACATAATAGTCTCGATCTCAGAAGAGCAATCAGTAATTCCCAACAGAAAAAAACAAAAAGTGCTGATTAAACTTGGCTTTATGAGTTTATTGAATATGATGAGAACATTCCTTGGGAAGTGGTGGAAATGGAAGCCAGATTTTTATGTGCTGAGGTGTGACTGTTTGGTGAAGAACAGTAAACTACTATTTTTTTTTCCTTCTTTCATTTTTTTTTCAAAAATCTTAACTAAAAGAATAATGATAGGACACAGGAAAGGTCAAAAATATTTCTAGGTTGATTTATTACAAGTAGAATGAGGGAGAACTGGAAAGTGAAAACAAAACGCTATATACATAAATGGGTACTGACATCCGACAACTTGAATTTGGGGTAGAAATAAAGGGAATTTTCAAAGCTATGAGCCAAAATGCCAAGTCAATTTAGGCCACCCTCAGAGTGAGGCTGCTATGGTAGCACATTCCTCTTCCACATTTCAAGCCTCTTTGTGCCTCAATATTTATTCTTTCCAAGGAGAAATACACATTCCAGCAGACCTTCAAAGTAGAATGGCCCACATGCTTTGGTTGCTTAACAGAACTATGACACAGAGATTGAAAAAAGCTTTAGAGGTATTGTCTATCTTATATATCTAGATACTTTGTGATTCCTAGTTGAAAGAAAGCAAAAGAATAACAATCCTAAATATATGGCACATATTCACAAGAACAGTATATTGAAATACAGACATGGTAAACTCAGTGTAGCTGATGCTGCCAATGCTCCATCCCTTACCCCTCATCCCACTTGTGTGCTTTGGTAATGGTCACATAGAATTTTCAGCCCTCTGACAAGTTTACATCTCAAATGTATCACCTCTCTTATCATTCTGCTCAGCCACAAGTAGCCATTTTCTGGAGTTAATAAACCTGAAGCAACCTCCAAAGAAAGGAGATACTAACAAATATATCAATGCCTCAGCTTGCCAATCTTTGTAGACTGATTCTGAGTGTGTTGCATATGGTTTCTCAAAGTGTCCCTAGTAGGTTTCAGTCCCTGTTGCCCATGGGAGTAATCCACTTATTAAAGCACCTTTCATTGGTTTTTCTTTTTTCTCCATTTCAGTTTTTCCAATTCCTCACTTGGGCATGCTGGGATCTTCCAAATAAACTCCTTGCACACAAATACTTGCCTTAGGGTTTGTTTGGGGGGCAAACCCAAATTGAAAAACTGGGTAACTCATCATCTGGGGATCTAGCTTTAAGAAAACAATTAGAAATATTGTGCAGGGGGACAATGATAAACAAAGATTGGTCACTGTGGTTTTAGTCAGGTGACCCAATATTCCTCAAATCTATCAATGAAGTCCCATTAATATTGACATTTCAATCCAAATACCTAAACCATGCTAGCTCTGAGCTCTTCAAAAATACTTGTTTAAGTACAAAAGTAGAGCTTGCATTTGCCTCCCGATTACTCAGAGTTGTCACTGTGAGGTTTTTCTCTGACTTTATTGCTTGGCTGGCCTCCGTTGTCCTGAGCTGTGGGCCCTGCACTTTTTCCATCACCAGTGCTCACCAGTAATACTGCAGCTCCTTCTCAGTCCCCTCTTGAAGCCAGGAAACTAATGTCAATGTGGAGTTACATGGCAGATTTTGAGAGTATTACCTGGATATCAAAGAATTACCAATAGAGTCCTTCAGTTGAAACACACAGCACTTCCTCTCCTTTCCTTCAAAGCACACAGATCACAGAGCATCTGGATTGAAAAAGTTGTTGACACCAGCTCTCCCATTAAATCCAAAAACCATGAGGCCATGTTGCCGAGGCAGCTGAATTGCAAATACATATTAGACATTCAGTTTGATAGAGATACTCATTTCATTTCCAAGCCTAGTTTGTTGAGCAGGCTTTAGACATCCCCACACCTCCAATCTATCACACAAATCACAGATGTATTCATAGATACACACTTGCACACACATACAGATCTACACAACAAAAACCTAAACACACACGTACACACAAATACACACGCATACTCACACACAAACAGGCATGCACATATGCATATACATACATACATATATATAAACACGATTCAAGGGTGGTTTTTTTTTTTTTGGAGGGATGTTGTTGCCATCATGGTTTTCTACCCTTTATGAGATCCCTCAAAATTGAAAATTAGTGGATATAAATATTCCCCTTAAGTAAGGAATGTCACCTATCTTAAAGCTCCAGCCACATCTCAGCTTTGATACAGAGTTCCTGTTAAAATGAGAGGAAAAAAGAATAATAGAGAAAGAAAAGGAAGGGGGCAAAGCAAAAAAAATTTTAGATAAAAGAGAACTAGGAGAAGAGAGAGAAAAATTAAATGCCCCAAATATGGGAAATGGTTAAATAAAAATGGTTAAATAAACTATGAAATTATCCACTTTGCGAACTCTTAGGATATATTTAAATGATACCTATAAAGAGTTTATAGAGGCACATGAAATGGTTGTTATAATTTGAAATTTTAAATAAGAAACAAGATATAAAATATGGGATGATAACTACAATAAATAAAAGTCTGAAAAATAAACAGAAAGATACTAACAGTAATTTTCCCATTGTCTCTCAGTTATAGCAATACTATTCATTTTTCTAACTTTCTGATTTTTCTACAATTGTCAATTTTTAAATAAACTATATATAATTCATTATATAATATAAATATACATATGCAAGTGTGCACATATATACACTTGTGTGTGTATGTATGATGAACAAATGTATATATTAAACTTGGTTTGACAAAAGAGAAGGACTGGGGACTGACACTTTTTGGCTTCTAAGTCCTGGGTCAGCACCTTAATACAGTACACTGTTGGGAATTGTTCCTCTTTTTTTTTATGTATATATATTACTGCTGCTATTCAATCCAGATTTCCATTTCACTTAGAGATTCACTAAGAAAGATATGTAATCATGGCACACATGTAATATAAATGGGCTCCTTTTAATTCCTTTCTTCTTTCCCAGCATCACAGCCCTAGCAAAATAATAAAGCTAGGTCAAGAGCTATATTTTCAGGCTTTTAATGTGTTTCTCATATTTTACACTAAAAATGGTAAGTCAGAGGTGAGCAACAATTATGGGCTTTCTTACTAAGCAATACTGAGCAAAGGTCTCAAGGCACATGTTCAACCTACTTGTTTCTTTTGAAGTGGACAGGAATCTAGAGATAAGAAGTATCTGTACAGGTTAGAGAAGAAATTTTTCTGTAAAACCAGGAACAATTGGTTGTCATTTTGTATATTACCCTACAATCAGACTCTAGAGGACTTTGAGGTACACAGTACTCTCTTGAGATAATTTATACCAAACACAAAGGGTAAATCTCTACAGTACTTACTACAAGCAGCAAAAGGAAGCTCTAGAACAAGGAATTAAACACAGTGTTTGTTTCCAATCGCAGAAGAGGCCATGAGCACCATATGTGTGTCAGGCTTATCATCTGAACCAAAGAAAGGCCAATCCTTCACCTTTCTTATGACTCTTATAGGCTGCAATATTTCACTTGGCCATAAACAACTTAATATCTCGCACCTAGTAGTATTCAGTGACACAGAAAGGGAAAGAGAAAGGATGAAGAAAAGAGGAAAGAGAAATAATTTCCCAAGATACAAATTTAATATTCTTTCCAAAGCATAAGAGCAATTAAAATATATTTCTCTGTTGTAGTTGTAGGATGGATTTTCCTACATCATTGTTCAGACATCCTGGAAATAATATCAGACTTTGTAAAGAACACAGAATATTTTTATTTTTAATTAAGAGAACATTCCTTCTAAGGGGGTTTAAGAGCTATGAACACAGGCATCAGTAAAAGTACTTTGGCCTTCCTTGAGCTCTGATGTGTAGACTGCTCACATTTTCATCTGCTTTTGAGACCTATTTCTGTAACACTGAGGACAGATGGCATTTGTTTTTCCAAAGATCTCTCAATTTTTTCTTCTTATAGTTACTTCTTGATAAAACTTAAATGACAGAACTTTAAAGAAGTGATGTCACTCTTTTAAAGAAAGTAGCTATTTCACAATATAAAAATATTGTCCCCCAATTTACATTCTTCTATGACTCATATTTTGCTGCTTTCACTGTATACATAACTCAAAGCCAAGCTCATTTAAAGTTCACATTAAGGAAAACTTGTTTGCCAGGAAATATTTAATTGAATCACAATGCTGTGATAAATCATTTTAAATGAGTTACTGATAGTCACACCTTTTTTATAGCTTTTATTAGAACACTGAGAAATTCTGGTTACAGAAATGTATTGCATAGCACCTGAAAATATAACATACCCATGGATTAAAGAAAGGAAAATTTGTGAGGAAAAGATTGCTTTCAGTGCTTGCAAAATGAATGCTAGCTCAAGGCTGCCACATAAATTTTAAAAACCAGTATTTTTAAGTGGGCGGAATCCACAGAAGATCCATAAAATGTATTGACACAAAGGAACACAGAACTTATGGTTCAAACGAGAGAGATAAAAACTATAAGGAGGAAAGGGAATCACAGCGGGAAAAAAGAACACATGAGATGTTTAGAAATGCTCAAAATAAAGGAAGCCCATATTGCAAACTAAGAAGCTAGGATGTAATCCTAGGCACACTCCTCATTCAGTATTCGAATGGGTCTTATGACTGTTGCCTCAATTCTCTCTTTCCTAATCTTACTAAATTGCTTTTAATTATAGCCCTTAATAATTGACATGTCTGTCTCTTTAGGGTTAACAATCTCCATGTGATTATAAACACTCGTGAACTCCTAGTTGCTAGGAGTTAAATACCAAGCTATTTAATTCTTTGAATCATCTCTTCTAGAAGCAATTCTGGCAGTTCCTAACCACTATTATTGCACGTCTCTATATTTCTTCCATTTTGACTATAATTTCCTGGTAATAATATTCCTCCAAATAGAAGTATTATTTATGATTCCAACTGTGATCGTGTCTCAGAACTATGAACAGGCACAGCTCCCTTCTCCTTGGTAATGGGATGCTTCCATAGATGGTGCAAACCATAACAGTATTCCTGTGTGCCACCACATTTCAGCCACATTTCCAATTTGTTTTTCTTTATTACCATAGGTATTTTTGATGATATCATTTCCAGGTTATTTTTTTTCCTCTAAACGTCTTGTTTTTAATTATATTTCTGAGATATACGAGCCTCCTTTTATCCATACAGAATTCATCTTCTTGTTCTTTGTCCATATTTCTTTTGTCATGAAAATACCATGTTCAGATATGTTTGCACTTACCAGTGTTTGGGTCACTTTAATTTACAATAATATCCATGAAAGTCTTTATTTATTTTTAATTTCCATCCCTTATCACATCATTGAACCAAATTTTCTAATTCTGGAGGCTGTTTCTGACTATGTAACCCCATTTTGCCATATCTGTTTCATCTTGCACATTATTATAAAGGTTTTAAATGGTCTAAAACCCATCCTAAAACCCATTATAAAGGTTTAAATGGTCTAAACCCCATCCTAATGTCCATTTGAGAATTACTTTTTAAGACTACTTTGATGAATAAATGTAGTTAAACAGCAAATCAAGACATACAAAATACAAGGCTCATGAATTAGCATTTATGCTTTCTACCTGCAGGGAGAGTAATCACTATTTGGTAAGAAAGATGAATCTTTTAACTCAGGAAAAGTTTCACAAAGGAAGTGGAATTGTAAGAAGTCTGAAATAACCGATAACTTTTGGATATATTTATATGACATTGAAGAACTATTTTTAAAAAAATCACAAAGCAGTACAGAGAAAGGTTAATGTTTCTTCAAATGTGAAGTAAACAAACATGAAACTCACACAAATCCAAGTCCCATTCCAACTCTGCAGACAATTGGTTGTGGATCTTTGATGAGTTAACCTCTAAATTGTACTTTCTTCATGAGTAAAATGAGCATAATATACTCACCTTCACCTACAGAAAATAATGTAAATGAAGTAATTTATATAGTCCCTAACATATTTTAGCAAGGTATTATTTGTTCAATTAATACAGAAAAAAACATTCACTGTGTAGGACACCTGTATCATAATTGTTTGCTTTTACCTCTATGGTACACCAGGTCTACTAAGGTGAGTCACAGGTGGTTATTTCTATATTTTTCATTTGACTCATTACTTTATTGTCAAAAGTTGGTCTAATTTCAGCAGCCACAACTCTTAGAAGTAAAATTTTGGGAGAAAATGGCTTTTAGTTATGCTTGTAGTCTCTAATCTATACTATAGCACTTTATATCATATTCTAATTATATCTCATATAACGTCTTATTATATATCATATATTTTTACTGCCAAAATTCCTTAAGGTTCAAGTGTCATGTTTAAATTACTTCATCTACTTCCTATTGCAGAAGATTTTTATGTTACATGTATATCTCACGATAAGTATTTTTAATTGCTCACTTTTTAAATTTCAACTCTATGGCCCATCAAATCTTAATTATAACACCACTTGGTATAATCTTTTCTTATTCTTCTTATAAGAGATTAGCACAGAGGCACTAATTTGGCCTTCGAAATTAGTTGAATTCAAACCTTTGCTATTCTAATTTTATCCATGCCATCTTGGATAAATTAATTCATTTGTCTTAACCTATGGAGCGTGTGTGTGTGTGTGTGTGTGTGTGTGTGTGTGTGTGTGTATTCAGTCATATAACAAATGCTCATTAAATAGCACCTATATATATTCTTTTGTTTAAATTTTCCATCTGGGTTATCTCTGTTTAGAAAACAATTATCATTTGCTGATGACTTCTTATTCTTCACACTCCCTCTCACATCTACATATTTACTTTGATCCCACTGTCATCGCACATCTGGGCCCTCACCCTTAAATGTCCAAGTGCTGATGCCAATGAGCTCTCATCTGTTCTCTGGGCCTCTAGCCTCTTTCTCATCAAATCATATTCCTGCCAAGAGAAGGCCCTATAAAATATTTTGGACCATGTCACCCTCCTTAAAACATTCACTGGCTTCCCCTTGCCCAGGCCAAATTTTCCAAAATATATTTCACATAACACTGGTTCCACAAGACGCTTCTTAGAAATGAGGTTCTGAGGACACACCAGAAAACACAGTACACTCTATCCTCTACTTGAAAATTCACAGGTCATTGCGGGAGAGGATGAATAGGAGGCAAGACTAACTTGTGGCTCCCACTCAGCCAGACAGAGCAGCATGTGGAGACTCACATCATGAACTTCTGCGCCAATAACTACCTCAGGAACATACAAGGAAAGCTGAGAGAATCTACAGACCCTTTGAAAGAAGTGGAGTGCTGCTTCAGGCCCTGGGTGACAGCCAAAAAACCATGAATGCCCAAAGTGTGAAAGTGTGAGGAGGATCATCCACCCCTGAACACATACTCTCACTGGGGAACCTGAAGGTATAGATCACAGGAGGAGGGTTTTGACCTTACCTGGAACTGAGATAACTTCAGAGAGCTGAGCAAAATACAGGGGTAGAAGAAGCATCGAGAAGAGCCCTGTTGTCTCTCTCAGTCCCCAGGGAAGTCATTTCTGACTTTGTCTCACAGGAGTCCTTGGGGAGGGCTGCCAGAGGAATTGGGAAAAAAACACAGGGAGAAGGAAACTTCCAGCTGAACTTTGTAACAATTTTGACCAAGCATGAAGTTTCCTGGACAGAACCCAGAGGAAGGGGTGAATTGGGAGTGCAGACAAAGCACAGAAGCTGTGGCAGGCAGGGAGACATGAAACCTGGAAGCCCTGCTTGCTTTATCAGCTGGAAGGCTGGTAGACTGAGGAAAGCTCTCAGCCCTGCTCAGCCGCTGTCTGGAAACAAACTTGGTGCTGTTTCAGGGAGGGCCACGGTGGGAGTGAGAACAGCCCTTTGGGCTGTGCGGGAGCTGGGTGAGACCTGTAACTGCCAGTTTTCCCTCACTTTTCTGGCTACCTGCATGACGCAGCAGAGGTAGTCATAATCTCCCTGGGAACATAACTCCATTGGCCTAAGAACCACACCCCCATCCACCACAGCAGCCACAGCAAGCCCCACCCAAGGAGAGTCTGAGCTCAGACATGCCTAATCCTGCCCCCACCTGATGGTTTTTCTCTACCCACCCTGTGAGCCAAAGACAAAGGACATAATCTCTTGGGAGCTCTTGAGCCCCACCCACCACCTGATCCTCCCTATACTACCACAGCTAATGATCTCTTGAAAACACCACCTCCTGGTTGGAGGCAATCAACACAAAACTAGTGCAATAAACAAAACTACAACTACAGACCCTCACAGAGTCCACTTCACTTGCTTGCCACCTCCACCAGAGCAGGTGCTAGTATCCATGGCTGAGAGACCTGAAGACAGTTCACATCACAGGACTCTGTGCAGACACTCCCCAGTACCAGCCCAGAGCCTAGTAGCTCTGCAGGGTGGCTAGATCCAGAAGAGAAAAAAGAATCACTGCAGTTTGGCTCTCAGGAAGCCACATCCTGGGGGAAGGGGGAGAGAACCACATCAAGGGAATACCCCATGGGACAAAAGAATCTGAACACCAGCACCTGAGCCCCAGAGCCCCAGATCTTTCCTCTCACACGGTCTACCCAAATGGGAAGAAACTAGAAGAACAATTCTTGTAATATGACAAAACAAGGTTCTTTAACAGCCCCAAAGGATCAAAACTAGTTCACCAGCAATAGATCCAAATCAAGAAGAAATCTCTGAATTTCCAGAAAAACAATTCAGAAGGTTGATTATTAAGCTAATCAAGGAGGCACCAGAGAAAGGTGAAGTCCAACTTAATGAAATAAAAAATAATAATAATACAAGATGGCTGGGTGCATGGTTCAAGCCTGTAATCCCAGCACTTTGAGAGGCCAAGGTGGGCAGATCATGAGGTCAGGTGATCGAGACCATCCTGGCCAACATGGTGAAACTCCATCTCTACTAAAACTACAAAAATTAGCTGGGCATGGTGGTGCACGACTGCAATCCCAGCTACTCAGGAGGCTGAGCCAGGAGAACCCTGGAGGCAGAGGTTGCAGTGAGCGAAGATTGCACCACTGCATTCCAGCCTGGTGACAGAGCAAGAGACTCCATCTAAAAAAAAAAAAAAAGGAAAACAAGACATGAAGGGAAAAATCTTCAGTGAAATAGATAGCATAAAGGAAAAACAATCACAACTCTGGAAATGAAGGACACACTTAGAGAAATGCAAAATATACTGGAAAGCCTTCGCAATAGAATAGAACAAGTGGAAGAAAGAACTTCAGAGCTCAAAGACAAGGCCTTCAAATTAGCCCAGTCCAACAAAGACAAAGAAAAAAGAATATTAAAAAATGAACAAAGCATTCAAGAAGTTTGGGATTATGTTAAACGACCAAACCTAGGAAGAACTGGTATTCCTGGGGAAGAAGAGAAACATAAAAGTTTGGAAAACATATTTGAGGGAATAATCAAGGAAAATTTTCCTGTCCTTACTAGAAATCTAGACAATGAAATACAAGAAGCTCAAAGAACACCTGGGAGATTCATCGCCTAGGTACATAGTCATCAGGTTATCTAAAGTCAAGATGAAGAAAAGAATCTTAAGAGCTATGAGGCAAATGCCTCAGGTGACCTATAAAGGAAAACCTATCAGATTAACAGCAGATTTCTCAGCAGAAACCCTACAGGAGGCTAAAGGCACTATCTTTAGCCTCCTTAAACAAAGGAATTATTAGCCAAGAATTTTGTATCCAGTGAAATTAAGGTTCATAAATGAATGAAAGGTAGTCTTTTTCAGACAAACAAATGCTGAGAGAATTCGCCATTACCAAGTCTTCACTTTAAGAACTGCTAAAAGGAGCTTGAAATCTTGAAGCAAAGCCTTAAAATATACCAAAATAGAATCTCCTTACAGCATAAATCTCACAGGACATATATAACAGTAACACAATGAATAAAACACAAGGTATTCAGGCAACAAACAGCACAATGAATAGAAGAGTACTTCATATCTCAATACTAACATTGAATCTAAATGGCCTAAAAGCTCCGCATAAAAGATATAGAATGGCAGAATGAATAAGAATTTGCCAACCAGGTATCTGCTGTCTTTATGTCTTTATCTGCTGTGTTTCTGAGGACTCACATAAACTTAAAAACATAAAGTGGGGAAAGCACACCATACTCAACAAACGTTGTTGGGATAATTGGCAAGCCACATGCAGAACAATAAAAATGGATCCTCATCTCTCACCTTATACAAATATTAACTCAAGCTGAATCAAAGATAACATTGGAAAAATCCTTCTAGACATTGGGTTAGGCAAAGACTTCATGGCCAAGAACGCAAAAGCCAATGTAACAAAAACAAAGATAAATAGATGGGACTTAAACAAAAAAAAACTTCTACACAGCATAAGAAACAATCAGCAGAGCAAAAAGACAACCCACAGAGTGGGACAAAATCTTTGCAGTCTACACATTTGACAAAGGATTAATATTCAGAGTCTACAAGGAACTGAAACAAATCAGCAAGAAAATAAAAAAAAGTCCCATCAAAAAGTGAGCTAAGGACACGAATAGACAATTCTCAAAAGAAGATATAATAATGGCCAACAAACATATGAAAAAATGCTCAACATCACTAATGATAAGGGAAATGCAAATCAAAACCACAGTGAAATACCACTTTACTCCTGCAAGAATGGCCATAATCAAAAAATCAAAAAATAATAGATGTTGGTGTGAATGTGGTTAAAAGAGAACACTTTTACAGTGCTGGTGGGAATGTGAACTAGTACAACCACTGTGGAAAACAGTGTGGAGATTACTGAAAGAACTAAAAGTAGAACTACCATTTGATCCAGCAATCCCACTACTGGGTATCTACACAAAGGAAAAGAAGCCATTATGCGAAAAAGATACTTGTACACACATGTTTATAGCAGCATAATTCACAATTGCAAAAATATGGAACCAGCCCACATGCCCATCAATCAATGAGTAGATAAAGAAATTGTAGTATATATACCATGGAATACTACTCAGCCATAAAAGGGAATAAAATAATGGCATTTGCCACAACCTGGATGCAATTGGAGGCCATTATTCTAAGTGAAGTAGCTCATAAAAACATTGTATGTTTTTACTAATAAGTGGGAGCTAAGCTGTGAGGATGCAAAGGCATAAGAATAATACAATGGACTGTGGGGACTCAGGAGAAAGGGTGGGAGGGGGTTGAGGGATAAAAGACTACACAATGGATACAGTGTACACTGCTCAGGTGATGAGTGCACCAAACTCTCAGAAATCAAGGCTAAAGAACTTATTCATGTAATCAAACACTACCTGTTCTCAAAAAACCTATCGGAATAAAAAAAATTAATCAAAAAATAATTTTTTTAAAAGAAAGTGAACGACAACCTCAAAAATGGAAGAAAATATTTGCAAATTATATGCCTCATTACAGACTCATATCCAGATTTAAGAACACTCACAACTCAACCACTTAAAAAAAATACAAATACTGGACAAAGAATTTGAATAAACAGTTCTTCAAAGAAAATATAAAAATGGTCAATATGCATGACCATGGAAAGATGCTCAACATTATTAGCCATCAGTAAAATGCAAGTCAATACCACAGTAAGATACTTCTTCACACCCACAGGAATAGCTGTAATCAAATAGATAGATAATAACTATTCGTGAGAATGCAGAGAAATTGGAACCCTCACACATTACTGGTAGGAATGTAAAATAGTGCAGACACTTTGGAAAACACTTTGGCAATTCCTCGAAAAGTTACACATGACATTACCGTGTGACCTGACAATTTCACTCTTAAGTATATACTCAAGAGAACTGAAAACATTTATCCACACAAAAACTTGTACATAAATGTTCACAGCTGCATTACTCATAAGAGTCAAAAAATGAAAATAACCTAATGTTCACCAACCGATGAATGAATAAACAAAATGTGGTATATTCATACAATGGAATGTCAGTCACACATAAAAAGAAATGAAGTTCTGGTCTATGCTTACAACGTGGATGAACCTTGAAAACATTATACTAGTTGAAAGAAGTCAGACACAAAAAGCCACATATTGTATGCAGAGTGACTGCTATTGGATATGGGGTTTCTTTTTGGAATGATAACAATGTTCTGGAATTAGATAGTAGTGATGGTTGTACAACTGTGTGAATAGAATATGCTGAAAATCACTGAATGGTGCACTTTATGAATTTATGGTATGTAAATTGTATCTTAATAAAGCTGTTATTGAAAGAAAATTCACAAAGAATGTCAGTATATCAAAATCTCCAAAACTGTTAAATCCTTATCTTCCAGAAAATTTACTTCTGAATCTAATTTGGATTCCTGACAGGCTTGCTAAAGTTAAATTGTACAAAAAAGTCTTGACTCTCCTGCTCCCTTAAAACATACTCCTATCCTTACATCCCTACTCACCCAGTTGCTCATAACAAAACTTGGAGATCATTCTTGATTTTTCTCTTGATTCCTCTCCTACCACCCCCACCTCATCCAAGTCATCAAAAAAATATCAGTCCCATCTCACAAATACAAACTAAATATAGCCAATCACTTCTTGCAAAATACATCCTAAAATCATCATCACACTCTTGTGAAACTGTAACAGCCTTATAAAAGATCTCTCTACAATCACATTGATCTTCAAAAATCTATTCTCTAGAAAGCAGCTAGAATGACACTTTAAAAATGCAAGATACATCATGTTACTCCGCTGTATAAAATTATCCAATGAACATCTTATTCTGTCCATCATGGACTGGGGCCATACTAAATGGCCCACCATAAATAAAGAAATATAAAGCTTTTCCATAAAGGTAAAAAAGAAAAACATTTTAGACATTGTATGATGTCTTTACGATACAGGATTGAGATTTTTAGGGGAATAAAACAATTGCTTTCTCTCTGGAAGCACTTTATGAACAAGGAGATGAAACAATCATACTGGGTTGAGGAGACAAAGATCAGAGTTTGGAAATATAAAAGAGATTTATATTGTAGGGCAAATTTCCAGAAGACAGGGAGCAATACAGGAAAAAGGATACAAAAATCTGCCTAGGTTCGCTCTTAAGTATATTGATAAATATTAATTTGTGCTCACACATGATGAAATTAAATAAGACTGAGAAAACAATAACTGGAAACTGTAGGTTTAATTTCCAGAGCTCATATAAGGCTGGGAAATATTCACGCTCCCTTCAGCCAGAATAGAGTTCAAGTTAACTCCTAAAGTATGAAGCAGAGATACAGAAGTCCACAGCTTAGCAGTGGGACTGAACAATTCTTAGATAAAAGGCTATTTCAAATATATTCTAAATATCTTCAAAACTAAACTAAATAAATGAAAAAAATTATTTCCATATAACATTGTCTTCCAGAACAAAATTCAACACCCTTTAAAAGAAGAAAACAAAATCCAGCAATAGCAATGAAAAATTCACAGGTACAGCATCTAGTAAAATTACTAGATATAAAAAAGGCAGAAAAATATGAAAAATGAAATTCCTAACTACCAGTCAATAAACTCAGATCCAGCAATAAAAAAGACGATGAAATTAGGTGATGGAATCTAAAGGAAACCATGAATAAAATAAAGAGGGAAATGGAATATATTTTTTAAATCACATAGAATTTCTGGATATGAAACATAACTTCTGAAATGAAAAACTCAGTGAATGGGATTAATAGCCATTAAATATTGCAGAAACAAATATCAGTAAATTCAAATACCTAGTGAAGAAAACTTTTCAAAATAAAACATAAATAATAAATACTCAAAAAAGGAACCGAGTTTTTTGTGACCTGTGGGGGAAATTATAACTAGAAATTTGAAGTCCCAGGAGAGAAGGAAAAGGGAGATGCCAGGAAAAAAGTTTTGAAGAAATAATTGCTGAAATGTTCAAATTTTTACATCCCAGGTTTAAGGGATTAAATAAACCCCAAGCATAATGAACATAAAGAAAAGCACACCAACAGGCATCATAATTAAATTGCTGAAAACCAATAATAAAAAGAAACTCTTAAAAGGCAAAAGGCACAGTACATAAGAGGAACAAGGAAAGAGTGATTACATACTTCATGCACATACGCTCAGAAATGAAAACTAGAAGATAATGGAGTAATATCTTAAAAGGACTCAAAGGAAAAAAAATCTGTCAACCTAGAAGTCTATATCCAGTGAAAATATCATTTTAAAAATCAATTTTAAAAATCTTAAAAATCTTTTAGACAAAGAAATGCTGAGAAAAATTATTACTAGCAGATTTGCACTGTAAGGAATGATAAAGGAAGTTCTTCAGGCAGAAAAAAATATCAAGTAGAAATTTGTAACTATACAAGGGAATAAAAAGCACCAGAAGTGACCGGTATGTTGACTAATATAAAGTCTTTCTCGTTTTACAATTTTTTAAACTGGCAAAATTCTAATAAGGTTTGTCATTTAGTTATAGTATCATATAAATGTTACATACCCAGTCTTGAGAATTGCACCATGTCATGTTGAATGTTAACACTAGGAGAAGCTGGGAAATAAATATATAGGAAATCTCTACACTATTTTTTGCAACATTTCTGTTAGTCTAAAATTAGTTCAAAAACAAAAAGATAAATTTACTCTTTAAATAAAAAAAAATGACAATATATTGTAGGGTTTATAACATATGTAAAAGAAAATTTTTTCATAATACCATTTAAAGGACAGGAGCAGGAAATGGATCTGTGCTCTTTTAAGATTCTTAAGTTATATGTAAGTAGTACAATGTTATTTGAGGTAGACTGTGATAAGTTAAGACGCATATTGGAACCCTAGATCAATCCCTAAAATGTAAAATAAAACAAAAGCAAGAGCTAAAAACCAATAGTAAAGATAAAATAGAATACTAAAAAATAAAAAATAAAAAATTCATCAAAAAGAGAGTGCAAGCAAAGAGAAAAAGAACAGAAGGGACAAATAGAAATCAAATAACAATATAATAGATTTAAACTCAACGAATTCCATTAAATATAAAAGGTTCCAAGACTCCAAATAAAATGTAGAGAATGCCCATTTGGAGACAGAAGGGAGGAGGGAGAGAGGAGAAACAGATAGATCATACAGACATAGTATATAGTACATTAGCATTAATATGTATAGGTGAAGTCTATTACTCTAAATATAAAGACACATTTTAAAAGCTAAATGATGAAAAAAACACCGTGCAAAAACTAATCACAAAACAGCTGAATTAACTATATTACTATCAAACAAAATAGAGTTCAGATCAAGGACTATTACCAGTAATAGACATATTTAGAAATAATAAAGATGTCAATATATATAGTATATAGCCTCTCATCTTTACATTTCTCAGATGTGTTTATAACACTTGTCCTCTGTGGCCCACAAACAGCTTACAGAATCTCCAGGAGAGACAGACAGTCATGTCTGAATGAGACACGGCTTGAATGATACCATCCAGAAGTATGCTCTGTCTCACACCAATATATATATATGATAGGTACTGCTACCACATACTTCAAGAAAGACGTTGGTGTAGGCACTGAGCAAGTGAAGTATGTGGTAGATACTTCACTGCTACCACATACTTCACTTGCTCAATGCCTACACCAACTTTTTTGAATTTCCTTCCTACAGTACCCAGACCAGAACACTAAACAGCTGCATTACCATTAATTTGCATGTAGGATGCTAGACATGCCTTAAGCTCCTTGCTAGCCAGGGAAAAAGCAACAGCAGGTAGCAGCCATGAGTGGAGAGATGGGTTCTTCTCATAAGCAGAGACCTTTGATTCTTCAGGATGGTTCTGGTAGAAGTTCGGGCATTTGGTCCAACATTATAAAATATAAATTATCTCTGCGAGACAGCAACAGTTTTTTCTGATACAAAAATCATTTCTGTGATGAGGTTGGGTATTTGCCCTCACTGCTTTATGGTCCTAGTTTTGTATTATTCAAAATTGGTTTCCTAGAACAATCAAGGGTGTGTAACTAAATCATAACTTATAATTTATTCCTGTCTGCTTAACCTTACAATGAAGAATTCTAACCAATACTTGGAGTGTGCAGCATTCTCCAGAGACCACTCTTCCCATCATCACACAAAAAAAAAATCACCTACATTTGTATTTATGAGGTGAATGCACCTCCTCAAAACGGCTATTTCAGTCTTCCTTTACTCCTGAAAATTTTCCAGTGCATCTTCCACCTGTTTCTGCCTAGGTCTCTTCACCTACCCACGTGGGCTTCTTAGATAGGATCTAAGAGAATGCTAGGCTAGATGTCGCTCATCTAGACCATTATTGGCCCTTGGGAAATACTTACACAAACTTCATACTTAGTAATTCGTGGAAATGCAAGTTAAACAAATACAGTCAATACAATGTTTTTCTACAGTCAGAGAAAGGAACTCTAGACTTAGCCTCTCATCTTTACATTTCTCAGATGTGTTTATAACACTTGTCCTCTGTGGCCCTCAAACAGCTTACAGGATCTCCAGGAGAGACAGACAGTCATGTTTGAATGAGACACAGCTTGGATGATACCATCCAGAGGTATGCTCTGTCTCACACCAAGCTTTCTGATTGAAGCCCCTGGCATTTGAGGAGAGGAGAGGACGCAGCAAGCCCCTGCATCCTCATGAGGGGATACTCTCTAAACTCCAACTTTTTGCTAGCTTTTATAACCTCTTGTAAAGGCTATGTGTGGAGGGAGGATTAAGGTTGTCAAAACCAGTTCTGAGATAACGTATTTGCAAATCGTGCTAAGGTGGCCTAATATTTTAATTTGGGATATGGGAATATCTGCCATGTAATTATTTCATGCTCAGTCTTTGAGTGTAAGCAGAAAATTAGATGAAAGGCCATTCTATTTTACACAGTTCACCACGTTTTTTTTCCTATTCTACCTTTAAAAGTCTGCTTAGAATCCCTAAAATATCACACACATTGCCATATTTTCATCTCTGCTTATCCTCTTTCTATGCGCTTAAATCAACTCTTAGTTAATTTAAGGACCTCCTCTTTCTTCAAGACCCAGCTCACATGTTACCTCTTCCATGTTGACTATTCTAGTGTGTCACTTTGGGCTTCAGTGCCTATACCACTTACAAGGCTCTTAGACAATGACATATCACCCAAACACAGTACGAGTGTTTTATTTCCTCCTGTTGTACCCATGACAGACATCATTAGTCATTCTTGATACTCTTTCTGGCTAAGTCGTTGGGTAGAGTCTTTTTAACACAGCTCTCCAAACAACTATTATCAATCTATCACTGCTGAAGCATTATGTGAAACCTATTTCACATTCTTGAATTTTTAATAGACCTCTTATAGATATATCCCACAAAATTAGATTAAAATAAGCCAGAAGGTATATACAAATTCTTCTTATAGCCCCAGTAACAAAGACAAATTAGGCCTCAGTAATGTCTGATGCTTGTTACTACAATGGTTCTTAGCAGCAGTTGACTTTAGCTCTTGTTTTTCTGTTGTGTTTTCTATTAGTCTTTGAGGGCAAACACAGAAATTTAAATATATTTTTAATGCTCTAACCTTTACATTAGTGACTGATGATATTATAATTTCAAAACATTTTGTATGTTTGAAAAATTTCATAATAAAGAAAATGGCGAAGAATAGAATCCTAAGAAGGAAATAGCAGAAATTACTGTAATGGTGCATGAAACCACATGGAAGATCTACAACACACAGATAAGACACACATTTAAATAAAACAAACAGAAGCTCAGGTGCACTTCTCTAAACAGCACACTAGAAGCAGCATGTATCTAGAAAATGCAGAATGATATTCACAGGGGCAGAATTAAAATCCTATCCTTTCCTGATCCAATATCCCCATGATATAAATGATAAGTCTCCATGGTTAGGTCATCCAAAACTTAACTACCCTTGCTGAGGGTACTTATACTGATAACAAGTATCGAAGCTATAGAAATTCAATTAAAATGTCTTAGGAAACAAACATAAAGACTACCACTTTCTTGTTTAAGAATTATAATATCGCCTGTTTGATAGTGGGTTTCGTGTATGTTTCCTTCATATCCCAGCACCTAGCACAATGCTTTTTTAGGGGGCACCAAAAATGTACTTGTGACTATTTGTTGATCTGAGTTAATAAAAACATCGTTCCCTGATTATGTTAAATTATCATTTTTCATTAGGAACTTAAGGGGGGGCTTGTCATGGATACTTTTATGCATTTCTCCATCACTAGCCCTGAACAAGTCTTTATTAGTAGAATGAAAGGATTTGATGACAGCTTGATCTTCTTCAAGCTCTAATGTTTATGATTCTTTGAAAAATCTCCCTGTAAATAAACACATCAGCAAGCTTAGGTTCTCAATGAGAATTGAATAAGCCTTCTGTTCAGTTATCCTGAATGCTAAACATTCTTCTGCAAATATGGGAAGAATCACTTGATTTACTCATTCATGCATTCACTCAAAAATGTATTGATCACCTACTAAGTAAACTGCTAGTGTTGGGTGCTTTGTGGCAGCAAAAAGTATAAAAACCAAACACTGCATGTTCTCACTCATAGGTGGGAATTGAACAATGAGAACACATGGACACAGGAAGGGGAACATCACACACCGGGGACTGTCGTGGGGTGGGGGGAGGGGAGAGGGATAGCATTAGGAGATATACCTAATGCTAAATGACGAGTTAATGGGTGCAGCACACCAACATGGCACATGTATACATATGTAACAAACCTGCATGTTGTGCACATGTACCCTAAAACTTAAAGTATAATAATAAAAAAATTAATTAATTAATTAATTAAACTAAATTAAATAAAGAGTTAACACTCTTTATTTTCCTACCTCAGCCTCCCAAGTAGCTGGGAATACAGGTGCCCGCCACCACGCCTGGCTAATTTTTGTATTTTTAGTAGAGACGGGGTTTCACCATCTTGGCCAGGCTTGTCTTGAACTCCTGACCTAGTGATCCACCTGCCTAGGCCTCCCAAAGTGCTGGGATTACAGGCGTGAGCGACTGCGCCCTGCAGACAACTTAAACAGATAGTAACACTACAATGTATCATCCTCTTTGAGAAGCAGTCTATAGTACGTTTTTGATAACTTTCTGGGATTATAACTAATGACATTGTCTAAACTGTGCCCAAAAGTTTACATTTATTTTTTTCTTACAGCTTAATTATCCTCTGTGATCCACACTAAAGTATTTTGAAGAATGACAAAGCTCTCCAAGGGTCTTAATACAGGTACAATGCAACAAGTCACACACACACACACACGCACACACACAGAAAAAGTATGAACTATAACTCACTGGAAACTAATTTTTTAAAGCTAATTGAAGAAATGAAAAGCTGAGATTGTCTTAGACAATCTCTCCTTGGACTTTTGATAGCTACACTGACATTCTTCTTTAAATCCTACTGACCTTTTGGTTGTTTATATATACTTTGAACTTTCTCTCTCTCTGTTTTATTTTTGTTTACTTCCCTAGTTTTATCTCTATATTTTATGGATACCCAGTTTCAGTTCTTGGTCCCCAATCTGCTTTCTTAGCCTGCTGCTTCCTAAGACCCAGGTTAATAACTGATGAGTAATCCAGACATTAATTTTATGAGACCAGAGAAAACAGAACAGTCAGTATGGCTGGGGGAAATGGAGGTTACAGAGAAGTTCACAAGGGAGGATACAGATAGTGAGTATTTGAAGGGAGAATAGGATTTTTTAAAGTGCAATTAAAAGCTTAGTATAGTTCAGACATACAAAAGTGCATGAGCTAAGGCAGGCAGACAGTCTGATCAATGAGGTAAGTTAAAGGTTTGGGAGAGAACAATCTGCTGGAAGAATAAATTTGAGTATTTGAAAGATAAGTGATGAAAGCCAGAAGCAGCTTGATCCCAACCTGATTAACATAACCAAAGGTGGGCACATACTGGAAACTGCACAGGATGGCAAAATAGCCTGAGAATCCTTCCACTGTTACATGGGCCTCTCTTCAAATAGTAAAATAAGAGATGGTCAGTTGACTATTCTACCCAGTCCTTTCCAGAGCTCCAAGAAGTAGCAGGAAATCAGAAAAGACACCTCTTGAGAAAAACAGTCCACAAAACTGATATGTGAATTAAATTCAATACAAGGTTTTTGGGTAGCACTTCCTTTTCTTTGCTTAAAGGGCTTATTCAAACTATTTTCGCCTTTTGCCTATTTCTAAAGAACTCTCAATTGCTTAGTAAATGTTTTTGGCACAAACTGCCACCCTTCTTTTCTTTTATCTGTCCCACGCATACTGCACCTATTAATTTTGACATTCATTATAAGAATCATCCCACTACATCTCAGTTATGTGCATTAAAGCACAATGTATTTTCTCTATTACTCTTTCTTATGTTTCTATTTTATTAATGTACAAAACCTTGTTCAAGCTAGATTGTTTTCTTACCTTAATCCATTATTTAATTTTTTAGGTCAAAATTATTATTACTATTGGTGAATTATGCCTTGTAAATAAATTATATATAAATATATTACATGTCTGAATCACAGATGCATATTATAGTTAGTGTATCATATTACATATCTTCATGTTACTTAATGCTTCCTTTAAAATTTTTCTTTAATATTTAAAAGCCACTTAAAACATGCTGTTTGGCTTTTATAACATTAACACCAGTGTTAGTGAAAACTGTTTGTCTGAACTAATAAATAACCCTTCCCTGTTGGGGAAACAAAATATCTTCTTTATGCCTTTGAAAAATCATCAGTTTACTTGCTTCTTAAATCAGACTATTTGTTATGCAGGAAACCCATCGAAACACTAATGATACCTCTATCAATAAGAATTTCAGAAGCTACCAAGGAGCCACAGACCAATGAATCTTACTTTCATACCAGGAAAGCTGATTGAATTCATAATAAATGTAAATTCAGAGTATGCTGGAGCAGGCATAAACTTAAAAAGAGAAGTAACATGGCAAGAAATCAGGTCTGACTATCTCAAGATATAAAATAAGCATGTTAAAAACAAGTAAATGTGATTTATTTAGTTTAGAAAATATTTAACAACTAGACTTTGATCTTATTCTGAGTTCCTTTTTATCTCTGTATACTCAATGGTTATCTAGGCAATTAACATTTGTTGGGTGCCCAAAAGATGGTTGTAAAGTTGAGTAGACCACGTCAATAAAAATGTAATTTCAGCACATCAGGAATTTAGAGACATGATTGTTTGGTCATAGAAAGACAATTGAGTTTTAATGAGATATCAATGAGAAGAAAACAGTAGTTCTTCCAGATAATAGAGTTCAAACTATTGGCTCCGCAAGGGATCAGAATTTCATGAGTACTCACAATAAAACGGTATAAATACATTTCTTTGGTTTGCAGAAGATAGTAAAATATCACCCCAATAAAAACAATTTGCAAAACTATCATGCTCTGTGTGTGTGTGAAAAAATAAAATGGCAAGTGAGTTTCAATATGAGTAAAAAAACCATGTAAACCCATACAGTTAGTAATGAGCTATCCATTATGATCCAGTATTCATTAAATGCGTGACTTGTTGCACTGTACCTGTATTAAGACCCTTGGAGAGCTTTGTTATTCTTCAAAATACTTTAGTGTGGATCACAGAGGATAATTAAGCTGTAAGAAAAAAATAAATGTAAACTTTTGGGCACAGTTTAGACAATGTCATTAGTTACAATCCCAGAAAGTTATCAAAAATGTACTATAGACTGCTTCTCAAAGAGGTTGATACATTGTAGTGTTACTATCTGTTTAAATTGTTGGCCCCGTGAGGTAGCTCACGTCTGTAATCCCAGCACTTTGGGAGGCCTAGGCAGGTGGATCACTAGGTCAGGAGTTCAAGACAAGCCTGGCCAAGATGGTGAAACCCCGTCTCTACTAAAAACACAAATATTAGCCAGGCGTGTTGGCGGGCACCTGTATTCCCAGCTACTCGGGAGACTGAGGTAGGGAATTGCTTGAACCCAGGAGGCGGACGTTGCAGTGAGCCGAGATCGTGCCACTGCACTCCAGCCTGGGTGACAGAGTGAGACTTCGTCTCAAAAAAAAAAAAAAATTTCTTCAATAAAGTTATTAAAAACCAACAGAGAAAACATTTACTTTTATAGACATATGTAATGCATTTATTCCTGAAACAAAAGTCCAAGTGAACATAAGTGCCTAGTAATATCCGCACAAGGGTAGCATAGCAATCAGGGTTCTCTAGAGAAATAAAACCAATTGGCAATTGGATATATGTGTGTGTACACACACACACACACACACCCACACACACATTTATTTATTTTAAGGAATCTGTTCATGCAATTAAGGGGAATGGCATGTCCAAAATACACTAGGAAAGCTAGCAAGCTAGAAACTCAGGCTGAATTTCTATGCTTCAGTCTTGAAGTAGAATTCCTTTTTCTCCAGGAAATCTCAGTTTTTTCTCTTAAGGCCTTCAATTGATCAGAAGAGACCCACACACATTATGGAGGGTAATCTTCGTCATTTAAAGACAATTGATTGTAAATCTTAATGACATCTACAAACATCTTAACAGCAACATCTAGACAAGTGTTTGAAGTGTTTGACTAAACAACTGGGCATTATAGCCAACTGAGTTGACATATGAAATTAACCTTCCTAGGCAGCAAAGACAGTTTAGGTCTACTTTAGGAGAACAAACAAAAGGGGAGGAAGAGTTTTGGAAAGACAAAGTAATATGATCTGCAGTTTTGTGTCAGTTTATACATGATTTTACAGAACTTTATACATGTGATTTTGGGAAATTGCTACTATAAGAGGAATGTATCAAGTGGCCAAGAGATCCTAAAATACTGATTGGTGATGACACTAAAATCAGTAACTGTCAATCATCTTTGGTTTTACTACACAAAAGTAATTACAAAAATAACAGAATAGGTAAGAAACATTACTAGGAAAACTTACCATAAAGATGACATTTGTTCAAAGTGAGAATGAATGCATTGATATTACTAAGACCACTACGTTCTATTTTCTTCTAACAGCTGTGGCCAGAAGGAATAATTTTGTGTCCCTAATATACTTTATTAGGATCTCTTGGCAACAGGGGCTCTATCTGCTTTCCTATGCAAATCAGGGTTCTCACAACAGCCAAACTCCCTCTGCCAAAGGATTGGGGGTCTCAGCTCTATTGTCTATTACTGTTTCCATTATATTCATTTAACTTATTGATATTTGAAATTTTGATTCATTTTATTTTCTAAATCAGCTTTCAGTGGCACCAGAGTTCCTTTCTCCAGAGATTCAAGGAAATCTTAACTCAAACGCTGATTTACTGCTTGGATTTACAAGTTTGTGGGTTGTCCCTGCTTATGATAACTAATTTTCTACTATTAAGTACTTGCCAGAACCTCTTAGGTTCGCTTGCCTCCCAGTACTGTCCCCAAATGGCCTTATCTTTTCTATTGCTATCTACATGACCTCACGGCATAGCCAGTTGTCACTTATCTTATACCACCATCTATCTATCCCTCCCCACCAATTCCTTCATTGGTTGTTTCTTACAGAGCTTGCTACAGCTAAATGATACCCTGCCTAATATAAGCCAGGTGATTTGTCAATGCCCTGCACCATCTCCTATGCTTCATCAAAAGCAGATATTATGTTTTTCTTCATGGTGCTATGTGTCCAAAGGAACGGGTTTTCTGATTTTTGCTCTAGTCATTTATGTCAAACAAATAGTGGATAGTTCTACAAGGTCTTAACATGATTTCCCTCAACCATTCTGGAAATCGTATTATCAAACGCAGCCCAGGGGAAACAGCCTTTCACTCCCTGAAATCTGAGTCAGTCATGATCCAGTAATATATCCTTGGACAAGTGATCTAATTTTGCTGAGTCTAAATTTTTTAAAAAGAGATAATAATACTTCTGTGACGGATGCACAGTGTCATAGATCCACTGAACAAAATAATTGATTTAAAAAATATTTGACAAGCCTCTATCCTAGACACTATCCTAGGAGCTAAGGATAGAAGGTAAACGAAATAATTTCCCCATATTATGAATCTCACACGATGACAGAAGATAAACAAGTAAATAAAAAAGTCTGTGATGTTTGCATTAATAAGAGATTGTGATAAATGCTATGAAGGAAATAGTCACTTTCCTACAGCAGAGAAGCCTGTGAGTAGGAGGGGGTAATTCTTTCTTTTTTGAGACGGAGTCTTGCTCTGTCGCCCAGGCTGGAGTGCAGTGGCGCGATCTCGGCTCACTGCAAGCTCCGCCTCCCGGCTTCACGCCATTCTCCTGCCTCAGCCTCCCAAGTAGCTGGGACTACAGGCGCCTGCCACCACGCCTGGCTAATTTTTTAGATTGGTTGAGCAGGAACTACCTCTCAGAGGCAGTAATTTGTGGGCTCACAATTGAAAAAGAAAAGGCATTTAGGCATGTTGAGAGACCCAGGAAATAATATTGTAGGTAAAGAGAACAGAAGATTTAAAGTGGAAAGGAACTTGGAAAGAGACCCGCAAGGAGACAGTGGTCATGATGAGGTCTGATAGTAGGAGTCAGATCATATGGGAGTTTATAAGGATTCACAAAATCAATTAAACCATTTAATCAAGAATGCAATATGACACACTTTATATTTTTAAGAGATCATGCTGACAATTGCATGTGAAATGAAATGAAGGAAACATAGCAGGTCCAACTGGAAAGCAACATCAGTAGTCCAAGTGAAAAATCATGGTGGCAGTAAACGTAAGGGAGTAATCAATTTTGAGATATATTTTAATGAGTACAACAAGGACCAACCAGCATGATTGCACAGGTTGCATATGCACAAGGGGGCACATCTAGGAGGATACCACCAATATCATAAACATGAAAGTAGTAGATGTTTCCATCAACAAGAATTGCTGACAGGTTGAATGAAGAGGATAAATTAGAGAGTAGAACTAAGGAAGAGTTGCCTGTTTCTGGTGTAAAAACTGTGTAAAACATATTGTCTTTAATTATAACTGGGAAATTCATAAAGAAATTGTTTTTGGAGTGGGGGAAATATGAAATAACATTTGGATAAATTAAGCTTAGGATGACTGACATCCAAGGGAGAATGTCAAAGAGGTAGTTGAATATTTGAATCTACAAGTCAGAATGGAAACCAGGGTTTAAGATACACAAGTCAGAGTTATTAGTTATAGATTGTATTTCAAATTTGACATTAGACTTGGTCACTTAAGGAGAGGACAGAAAGAAGGAAGCCTATGGAGGCCCTGGAGCAACCAAACATTTAGAGATGAAGATAAGTGGAGGATACAATTAAAAAGACTGAAAAAGTGGCCAGATGAGAAGAACTTAGAAAGTAGCTTCAGGTGAAGGTAGTTTCAAGTAAAAGTACAGTTGTCCCTTGAACAACATGGGTTTGAACTGTGTGAATCCACTTATATTTGGATTTTCTTTTGCTTCTGCCACCCCTGAAACAGTAAGACCAACCCCTTCTCTTTCTCCTCCTCCTCAACCACATGAAGATGGTGAGGATGAAGACCTTTATGATGATCCACTTCCACTTCATGAATAGTAAATATATTTTTCTTCCTTAAGATTTTCTTAATAACGTTTTCTGTATTATAGCTTACTTTAAAGAATACAGTATATAAAATGTAAAACACACAGAACTTGTGTTAATCAACTGTGTATATTATGCACAGGCTTTTGGTCTGCAGTAGGGTATAGTAGTTAGGTTTTGGAGGAGTCAGAAGTTACGCATGGATTTTTTACTGCGCAAGGGATTGGTTCCCCTAACCCTTGCATTGTTCAAGGGTCAACTGTAGTTTCGGAGAGGCCCCAAAAGGAAAGTTTTTGCACAACAGTCAGCTGAGTTAAATGTCCCTAATCGAGTAAGATGAAGATAGTAGATTATCCTTTAGGTTTCAAAATATGACAATTTGTGATTGCCACACTACAGCAGTGGAGCAGTATGGGAAGAAGCCAAATTGGAGTGGGTTGAAGAGCAAACACAAAGAGGACTCGGGTATACAGCTTTGCCTTGGAAAACAGCAGAAAAATAGGATAGCAGCAAAGTGGAGGATGTGAAGTCAAAGAAGGGAGTTTGTAATTAAAATGGGAAATACTAGAGCATGAGAGTTCAAGTGAAAGAATTGGACCTTCATAGGAACAAGGACAATTTTTCAAATATAAATGAAGAAAATACGAGAGAGGATGGATGAAGATGCAGATAAGTTTGACTTAGAGATGGGAGAATGAAGCACTTGCCATCTGCATGTATTTAATTGATGAGGTATGAAGAAGGCTATCAGTTTACACTTCGGGGAGTACATAAGGTTCAGGAAGGTTAAGAGGAAAAGAAACATTTTTAAATAATTCTCTCAAAGAATGGAAAAGCAGATTTATCATGGAAACCTGAAAGTATTGCTGGGCATTATTAAGTGTTGTTCAGGTTTATGGTAATTAAAGTAAAACAGTTATTCCAGGTTGCTGATTTTTTTTTCCCCCAGAAGTTTCAGTTGTCCTGTTAAGGGCATGGAGAAGATAGAGTTGGAACAAACTACGTTAGATCTTTTACAAGTGCCTGTGACTGGAGAAGACAGGAGGAGAAAAGTTATTGAGAGTAGTCATAAGAGGCAATCCTAAAAATGAAATATGGAATCTAAATTAGATACAGAAGCAAGTGAGAGCAGGAGGGAGATGATGGTTCTCTGTAACTAGAATTTGCATGCGGCATCTTTCCAACAGATGATATTTTGAATTGGAATAGAAATACATATTAAATGGAGTCCAGACAGAAGGAGAAAAGAATGGAAGGAAACACAAAATCTGACAAAGCAGAGCAGAAGCTCCTGGTCCCCAAGCAGAAAGCAATATTCTGAGAGTAGGGGTGAGGAAGTAGCATGAGTACAGAGAGAAATGGAGGCAGAGCTTATTGTGGACAGTGATAAGAAAATTGGGTAGCACTGAGGGACAACTAAGACTGGAGTTCATCAGTTTAAGGTGGCATAAAATACTCAAAAGTGTGGTATTTTCTCAGGAAATATTCAGTATTCAAGATATTGGAATAAATAGGGCAATTTGATCCATTGTTGGTGATTTGTGGGGCAGATACAATGAAAAATCAAATGCTAAGAAAATATGTATTTCTATCATCATTCTTATTCTCATTACAGATTTTGACCACTTAAGAAGACCTTGACAGGCTACACGAAGGATCTCTTGCTTCCAACCGTATGTCATATTCGCCTCTTCTAGCTCTTCTCTCTGATCCTGCTTCTCCTAGCCATTGGGTTCAGTAAATACATTTCACAGTTGAAACAGCTCTGCCTAATTTTATTTTGGTTTGCAAAACTGGATGTTTTCTGGCAGAAAATAAAAATTTCAAAGTAGTCATACCTTTTTTTCAGCAGTTTAAATATAGACTTATAATGCAATATAATCATATTCTTTGAACAGTCATATGGCAGTTTCCTCACATGGTCGGAATCTAAAAACCATGTTCATCCACTACAATCTTGTTCACCAAATTCTGTAATAGCAGAATTAAAGGGCATCCCAGGTAGCCTAAAAGCTGTAGTTATAAAACAAAGAAAGTAAAGTGCTAATTTACACAGCAGGCAGTAAGCTCATGAAATGTATTCCTTTAACTGGTGGAACAACCCAAAAATACAACTTTCTATAAATTTTTGGATGATAAATTTATAATAGGTTATGAACAAAACTAATATATTTGATATATAACCCTAACTTTTCAGAAGTTGAAATTATGAAGAACAAAATCATTTTCTGCCCCTACAAAAATTTTCATACCTACCAAAGAAAAAGTCCTGAGCTAAAAAAAATCATAGGCCTGAAGAATTGGTTCAGTCCTCTCTCTTCTGATAATACTTTACATTAAAAATACATGCAGATAAATATACAACACAAATATTAGTCATACTATGGAAAATGCCACCACTTGATTTACTTGACACTCTCCTCTTTGAGCTAGCTTAAATTACATATGTAGTGTACTTAGACAAAAGACTCATATTTTAATTTTAATAAATTAAAATAAAATACAAATTCTTGACAACAGAATGCATTTTAGTGAACTTGGCATAGATAGGAACAAAGATTGTAATTGTGAAAGATTTTTTTTCACTCCTGAAAAAAATCATGTTATGTGGACTTTTAAAAAGAAAAAGAGAAGTAATGGGTACAAATATACTCTTAGAAGAAATAAGATCAGATGTTCAATAGATTGGTAAGATGACTATAGTTAACATTAATCAATTGTACATTTCATAATACCTAGAAAAGAATAATTTGAATGTCTCCAGCATAAAGATAAGTATTTAAGGTGATGCATATCCCAGTTACCTTGATTTAATAACAGTGTATCAAATTATCACATGTATCCCAAAATATATACATTTAATATATGTCAATAAAATTAAATAAAAGAAAAGAAAAAGAAAAAAGAAAAGAAAGAAGTGCATACTTGGAGAACACTGCTGGCAACAAATCAGAGTGGATGCGATTCCATATCCTACCTCAAACGAAGGGATCCTAGATATAATGCAACAAACAAAAGTTAATACATAGCCAAGACCAAATGGAATAAAGCACAACAAAAAAGTGTCATAAATTAAGAGGCAACTTCAACCCAGAGCCCTAAGGTATGAACAGGCCCCATAATGGTCTGTTGGCTTCCTGGAACCCTACACATGTGCAGCATACTGCAGCTAGAATCTAATGCCCATGCAGGAACAGAACATCACCTTAGGCTCTGAAAGCAAAAAACAAGAAAGCATATCTTTGCAAAAAAAAAGAATAAATAAAACAAATTTTTAATATAAAACGTAAGTCTCTGTAAAGGCTGTTTTTCTTAGCATCATCTTAAGATTCACCTTAATATATGCAATAACCAGCACCACTTTAAAAATTATTAATGATTGGATGTATAATACTTTGAATTCAATGAATACAAAATCCACATTCTTTTTAACTATATATAAAACATTTACATTTGTATTTTCCATATATATCAAAAAATAGAAAACTAAACTTGTTCACTAGTTTATTGCATTAAAAAACATAAAATTCCAAGTAATAAATTAAAAGATATGCAAAATCTCCACCCACAAAATATAAACTTATCAAGAGAAATTGATAAAAACTAAATAAATTAGAAATTCGTAGTATACATGTTCAGTGATTATATGACTCAACATAATAAACATGTCAAATATTTTCAAATATATCTATAGATTTAACAGAAAACCTATCAAAATATGAAGAGATTTGTTACAGGAAATTACAAGCTGTTTCTAAAATGTGTATGGAGATGCAAAGGCCAAAGAATAGCCAAGACAATCTTAAGAAAGAATAAAGTAAGATAATTTATCCTACTAGTTAATAAGAAAAACAATTTAAAAACTTTAGCAATTTAGAACTTTGGTACTGGAGTAAAGAAAGATAAATATACCAATGAAATAGAACAAAATGCAGAAAAAGTTCCCAATCCAGAGCCTTTCCAGTGTAGATGTGAGTTCTTCATTTATGGCAAAAATAGCTCCTCACTGCAATGTGTAAGGCACATCCTTCAATAAATGATGTTGAGTTGCTGGATTTACATATTAAAAAACTTGGTGGTTCTTTACACCACTAACATTAATTAATTCTGGGTAGGTTGTAGATGTAAATATGACAAGTAATATAGTGACACTTCTAAGTGATGAAGCTAGAGAACATTTTTATGACTTTGCAATAGATAAATATTTCTTAAACAGGACACAAAATGTACTAATTATAAAGGAAAAGACTACATTAAACTTAAAATTAAGAACTCCTAGCCGCTCTATTGAGTAACTATTATTTATTCCTTTACTTTCTTAATAAACTGGCTTTCACTTAAGAAAAAAACTCCTGTTCATCAAATTATAACATTGAGTGCAAAGACAAGCATCAAGATAGGACAGGATATTTGCAATACATATAATCAATAATATGCAATACATACAATAAATGTAGTATACAGGATACTATAAAGAACTTTTACAAATTAATAAGAAAAAATACAAGTAATGCAAACTTTAAAAGTAGGCAGGATACTTTAATAGGCGTATAATAAAAAGAATATTTGACTTGTGACTAAACAAATGTTGAAAAATACTATAAGTCACCAGTGAGTGGGAGAATGCAAGTTAAAGCCCCAATGAGCTAACACTACATATACCAATTCATCCAAAATTATAGACTGGCAATACCAAATGTTGTTAATAATTTGAAATAATGGGAATACCAATCACTGACAGTGGGAATTTAAATTAGTAAAAACACTCTGATAACCATTTAACAATGTCTAATGTATGTATTTTGCAATCACCTTTTTTTTTTTTTTTTTTTTTTTTTTTTTGAGAAGGAGTCTCTCTCTGTCACCCAGGCTGAAGTGCAGTGGTGTGATCTCGGCTCACTGAAACCTCTGCCTCCTGGGTTCAAGTGATTCTCCTGACTCAGCCTCCCGAGTAACTGGGATTACAGGTGTGTGCCACCACGCCCAGCTAATTTTTGTATTTTTAGTAGAGACAGGGTTTCACTGTGTTGGCCATGCTGATCTTGAACTCCAGACCTCAAGTGATCCACCCACCTTAGCTTCCCAAAGTGCTGGTGCAATCAACCATTTTTAGAGAAGCTTTAAGTTTACAGAAATATTGAGTAGAAATACAGGGAGATACTTGAGAAACTAAATTTTTTAGTTTCTTTGCTTGTCTTATATCATTAACTAAGTCCAATGTATATTGAATAGTAGTTATGATAATTGGCATATTTGTTCTGTTCTTAACTTTAATGGAATTATTTCTAACCTCATATCATCATTATATTTTCCATGAGTCTCTGATAGGTATACTTTACCTTAAGCCCATCTCTTATCAGACTAAGTGCATTTATTTTGCTAGAAATTTACATCAAATATTGTGTTCTATTTTCTTTTCAACTTTTTCCAGACTGACCATGAACTTTTCTTCTCAGTAAAATGTAATGCAGTACATCGCTGTCATAAATTTCCTGAATTGAATTATTTTTGCATTTATAAGATGTATATGCTATTAGCCATATGTTCTTTTTCAATATTGCTAAATTCTACTTACTAGTTTTTTTTAAAGTTTTGTATATGATTGTTAATGACATTAGCTTATAGTTTTCTTTTTTATTTTAGAAATCTCCTTCATTGTACCATAACAGCAAGCAATCTTGCTTTGCAAGAAACCGGTTTTCTCTCTGTAAACATCTTTTGGGTTTATTTTTATGCTTAATATTTTGACATTTTGCCACACTTTGTCAGAATCTGATTTTTTTCATTCGTTTTATTGCATGCTCAGTGAATCCTTTCACCAAAAGCAAAAAGTATCTTTCTCAGTCCTTTGAAACAATCTTTCATTACTCTTTTGGTTTTTTCTTTACCTTTGTTCTCTGCACCTTATTTATTAACAATACATGTTTGAACATCTTAATTTATTCTTTCTGTCTCAGTTTTACTCTGTGTTTCTAAACCTTTTGTCCTTCTGCATTGCATCCTGTGAAAATCTTTTTGTTATTTTCTAGTCTATCTTTAACCAAATTCATTCCATTTGGGGGGCATTTTTACATTTCAGCTATCATATTTAATTTCCAAGAATTTTCTGGATGCAAAGTCCTTCCAAATTTATCTAAAATTATTCAGTACACTTAATGTAAAATATTATCCTGTTTGCTACACTAACCCTGTTTCTCATTCCCTCTTTATTGATTTTGATGCCACCATTTCATGCTGTTGGTTTCAATCAAACCTTGGTGATTACTGAGTGCTTGCTCATCTTTGCGTGTAAGATTCCCCATGGACTTGTGTGGATACTGTTCTGCTCATTGTAGCCTGTCTGTGATGATTTTGGGAAAGGGACATGATTTACTGCACTTGAGTTTTGGTATTTTTTTCAGTCTGGGGGATAGTTTCTTTTCACTTATGCGGCTCAGTGGCTGTCCACTCTTGCTCATAACTTTCTGAATCTCATACAAACATTCATTGCTTTAGTCTCAGTGCAAATACCTTTGGTGCCTAAGGTTTAGCACAGGCATGGGAAAAAGGAAGAATCAACAACCCTAACTGTTTTAAACACCGTTCCACAGCTATTTATCATTACGATTCCTCCAGCATCCACTTCTGAGAAGGCCATTCCCCTAAAAGTAATCCTTCCTCTGGAGCAGTTTCCTCCAACAGGGACCTTTAGTCATTTTGTTCTTTTTTGCTATAACTCAGGCTAATTTATGCCTTTTGTGAATCCCTTAGAATATCTAATATAACTATGGAATCTATTTTATTTATTAGTGTATTGAAGTATTGGTATTTGTTTATAGATCTTTCTTTTCAGCTCAAGAAATTTGGAGCAGAAGTAAAAGAAGATAAATATACTCAGTCTCCTAGCTTGTTCCAAGTCTTACTAAATTTTTCATTATTGCATTGGTATGGACCTGATAGTTTTTCATTTTTCATTGACATCCAAGATGTATCCATATAATCTGTGTAATTAGCATTTGCTTATTACTGCCATTTCTTTTATTCTTTGATCTCATAGTCTGTCATCTGACTACTACGAATTAAGTGTACTTTAATAATCACGTACAATCTATCATTTGTAAGACTCTTATAAAGTATAAATAAAACTCATATTACTAAAAAAAAAGAAAAGCAGCTGTTGTTATTTTATTGTTACAGTTTCTTTCTAATTTGATCTTGAAGTCTCTCTGTCAAGAGTAGCCATAAGCCAAGATATTCACTCTCTAAGAGACCCCTGACAGGAGTAAAGTTAGGTTTGGCTCTATCAGTCAGATGACAAACAACGAGGAGAGAAAATCAAAATGTATATAAAAAAATATTACTTACATGTCCCAGAGATAAGAGTGCCAACAGGAGGCCTATGGGAAGTTCAGGTGACAGGGAGCTCAGCCAGCGAGTGGGGGTCAAGAGACAGAGAAAGAGAGAGACTCTGTGGGACTATGCCTTTATTACAGTCCTCCATGGGCATTATTCCTTAGGCTTTCCTGCGGGAGTTGTGGATTTGCTACTTTAAAGAAAACACGTGTGAGAGGGAACTTATTTACGTGACTCTGTTGTTGATCATTGGATTTTTATCGCGGTCAGCAGCTGTAGGTGTGCTGTGTTTTGAGTTAGTGGGAAGAGGAACAAGAGGGCTGTATCACAAACAACCCACAAAGGGAGGGGAGGTTTTAACTAGGCCAAAGGTGATGGGGTATGATTGGATTTCAAAAACTTATGTTAGGCCCAGAAATGGATGGGGAGGCAGCAACTATATTAAAAATACTTATGACAATAGCTTTCAAATCATTGAAAGAAGTAAAACATAAAATACCTAACTCTAATCAACATTAAAATGATCTGGCCAGGCGTGGTGGCTCTCACCTGTAATCCTAACACTTTGGGAGGCCTAGGCGGGTGCATTGCCTGAGCTCAGGAGTGCGAAACCAGCCTGGGCAACACGGTGAAACCCCATCTCTACTAAAAATACAAAAAAAAATGGCCGGGCGTGGCAGCGTGCGCCTGTAATCCCAGCTAGTTGGGAGGCTGAGGCAGAAGAATTGCTTGAACCTGGGAAGCAGAGGTTGCAGTGAGCCGAGATCGCACCACTGCACTCCAGCCTGGGCGGCAGAGCAAGACTCAGTCTCCAAAACAAACAAACAAAAAAAACACAAAATGATGCTTCTGTCAAAGAAGGTCACTTTAGAAGAACTATGTCACAGCCTTTGGAAAAGTTTCAGAATACTCTTGCTGGAATCTTGAGAACTGGAAATTCTCAAATACACACCTTTGTAGAGAGTTTACAATACATGGCGTGAAGTCATGCAGAATATGTGTTCTCAACATGTATGAGGAAAGTCATATTTCTCCATTTCAAATAACTTTAATAAAGAAGTTATATTTCCACGAAAACTACATTTTATTAAAATGTCATGGCAAATATTAAACCTATTACTTTTATGCTCTTTACCATCAAATACTGATACTCTGCTGAGTTATATAAAACTACACCATCATTCCAAAAGTTCAAGTTGAGTTTGTGGGTCTCCATTCTATTAAGAATATTAAGCAATGTGTAATAAATATACAAAACATGACATTGTAGATTATGCATGCTTTCCTAAGACAATAGATTATTTGTCATATGTAAATGTCTACATCAGGGTTCTAACGAGTTTATAAAATAAAATTGTGCATATAGTACAGATAATAGCAAATTATTAATATTTTTAGATTGATAATTATTTTAAATTTAAATTAAAAGTAGAGATCATTTGGAGGTGTCAAAACCAAACAAGTTTTAATTAAATGTAGATTTTCTTCTGAAAAAAATAATTTTCTCTCTCATTTGCAATACTTGAATGTATACCTAGGTAGTGGTTCTCTAACTTTTGTGCCTACAACACAGTTTTACATACTAGCTGTATCACCTGAGGAACATTACTTATCTTAAATAGTATAAGCTTCATATATCATTTCATGATAATTAAATGAGATAAAACATGCTGGCACATGGTAAGCATTCAATAAATGTTGGCTATATTTATTTCTATTTATTGTGATCATTAGTCCCCATTATTCTATCAAAGAATTCCATATTATAGAAAGGCCATTTCTTCTGAGATAAACATTACGAGTTGAGAATCATCATTGTTTAGTAAGATTTAAGGAGACAGTTAAAAACATGGAACACGATTGCTGAAGTACATCTTATGGCAATGGCATTAAAACACACACACACACACAATATTAACTCCTTTGGGTCATGAGTTGTGCTGAAGTAGTTCCAAGGACCCACCTGAAGATCTGTAAAGTTATGCCATCAGCAGCTTTATAATAAAGATATTGCCTCAGTCAGACACAGAACATTAAATTCTACCAGAGTTAACTAGTAATATGACTTTAAATTGGGGTCAGTAGGAGATGATCTGTCAAAGCTAAGAAAACTACAATAAGGGAAAGGTAAATGCACAATGCATAATTCAGACCAGAAGTAAACCATGCAGACACTGGGGTGGCAGGGTGGAGATGGGCAGAGATGTAGAGGTATCAGTACAAATGCTAAATATGCAAGATTACCAAAGGCCAAAATAAAACTCAGAGACAACTATAGCTGGTAGGAGAATGCATATCATACTCCTAGACCTGCATAAAGACTAAGGGAGGAGGATCACCTGACACACAGACTACTCTACACCAACATATATACTTTGACATTCATTAAAAACTAACAGATCATAGATAATGATTGGATTGAAAAAATAAAAGAGTAGATAATCTGAATATTCAAGTCAATATATTGCTTCTAATTTTAAAAAAGGAGGATGGGAAGTTCCAAAGCCTAGAATAGGGATAAATCAGTGCCTTGAACATAGTAGGTGCTCAAAATGAATGAATAATCAAAACAAGCAGTGGCAAAAGTGCTATAATCATTTCATAAGTATCTAATATATTACTATAGGAGTCTATACATTTCTACTATTTGAAATACAAATGTCAATTCTTTTTTCATTTTTTTTTTTAACAGAGTCTGGCCCTATTTGAGCTGTCGCTCTTTAACTCTGAATTTAAGCTGCCTCTTTTTTTTCTGTTTGGATCACACCATCATTGACTGTTTACTCTCTGGTATCTACAATATTTTGAAACTGCCTCTTTGTTACATTTCTTGAAGCATTTTTAACTATTTAATGTGCAGGCTCATCAGAATCTTCCTGTAATCTCTGTTCTGACAGCTGAGAACTGACATCCTAATTTCACTTAACTGCTTGCATCTAAATAACTATACTGATACTTTCTATAGCATTATTACTTACTATTGCTGCTACATTTCTAAGCACTTACTGCTTAATCTCACAGACTCCCTGGATGCTTACATAGTTTAGCTTTCCATTTGTTTTTCTTCCTTCAGTCATGATGGCCCTGCTTTGTTCCTGGTCAACTCCCTGATTCCCCGGTTTTAGAAGCAACACTGTGATACACTGTGTATTCAGCTGGGTGAGGATGCCTTTCGCACTCTCTTCCACGTCTGCCCAGTTGAATGTAACCCACTTTCCCAGACTCCTGGTCTCTCTCTAATTCAGTCTTCTGAGTGCTAAGTCCCAGAAACTTTTTGCCTTATTCTTTGCTTTATCTTCCTACCAATAGTCCATTTTTATGGAGACTGAAGAAATAGCTACTTTTTTTGCAAAATAGAGTATAATTACATGTAACTCCCTACCAGTTATAAGATTTCAACTTAATAATTTAACCAGATTAAAAAGCTCCAGTGTATATTTTCTTATTTCTTTGGGAAAAAAGAAGTCTACTTCTTAGTTTGCCTATCCACACATCATCCTACAAAGATCTGGAACAGCATCAGGATTAGTTTTTACTTGAAGTGTGTGTCTGTGTGTGTGAGTGTGTGTGTGTATGTGTGTGTGTGTACGTTAAGGACTTGCTTTTATTCCCTTAATTTTATGAACCTGGGCTTCGCATCATATATGAAAAAGATCTACTAGGGACCCTTACTCTTAGTTTACATTAATTTTTAGTCTTGCCTGTGCTTTGGAATAATCTAGAAAGATTTGGAGAAATAGCAATGCCCAAGCTTCATCCAGACCTATTATATCTGAATCTCTGATTATATCTGAATCTCTGAATGTGGGGCACCAGCTTCCGTGTTTTTCCAAAGGACCATATGTGCTGTAATATACAGCCAGAGTTAAGAACCACTACTTTAGTCTTTGTTTTCTGGCTTCTCTTCCTTCCCCCATTATATTCCCGATTACTGGCTCCAAAATCTTCCCTGTCTTCACACCACTTGACCTGACAGTTATCTTGGGTATATCTAATATCCAATGCATTGGGTAAGTGTAACTTCTTCTAGCACCCCTACGAGCAAGACCAACTTGCCACACTCTGATTTTTTCCAAAGAACATCAGACAGAAAGAAAAAATTAAGACGAAGGGAATAAATAGCCCAAGTAGAGGTGGATTGAAAATCATCACCAATCTTACTTTACTACTCTGTGTACTAGTGTTATCTGCTATTCTCTTAATTCCTCATTTTTATCCAGATAGCTGATGCCACACCCCTGCCCCCTACACCTGACCTCTAAAATGGCCTCACTCTCTTGTTCTGACGACAAATTATTTTTCTCTTTAGTTCAGCTAAGAACATTTTCCCCACTTTTTAAATTGTAACATCATTTAGAAAGTAATGGCAATAGAAAAGAAGGTCAACATATGAAAAATCAAAAATCTTAAAATGCAAAATACTAAAACACAAACCCTTAGCGAAAGATTGGCTTTAAGAATAGGCTCTACAACACACACGACCCAGTTCCCTTACCTGAGCTACAGCATGCATTATAGCCACCACTTAGCCTCCTCTGTGTGCCTGGCATCCTATCAGGAGCTCTAATCTTTATGACTTTACTGCAAAGTAGTTATTTCTCCAGTTTCACAGCTGAGAAAACACAGGTCATGGTCACATAGCTAAGAAGTAGCTGAGCCATGATACAAACTCAGGTCTCTAAAGCCAATTTGGTGTATGCTCCTTCCACTCCCGCACTTATGATAGACGGAGCAAGCTGCCCTTAAAGGTGAGATGAACTTGATTTGGATCTATTCCCAGGGTCATGAGTGCCATCCAGGATATACTATCTAATCTTCTCTTGTAGAACCTCCACCCGCACTCCACCCTCTCATCTCTATTTTTGTCTCTCCTGCTTTTCAGCTTCATAGTCACTTTAGTTCCTAGGACCAGTTCTAGTCCCAAGCTTTTTCTGATTATGAACTTATAATTATCTCCTTTTCTCCTCCTACAGGCCATCTGAAATTTATAATCATTATAGTTTCATAAGATCAAAATTGCATAACTATAGTCTCACTTATCACATGAGGGCAGAGCTAATCTTACACAATGCATTTAGCACATGTGAGGTCACTCCTGTATCATGCCTTTTTAAAAATAGAGCCTCACTGGTATTTTTAGATTTTAAAAAATCCTTATATTTATTCACCCAACTAGATTGCAAGATCCCTTGTAGGCAAGGGTTTGGGTCATATGCTTATGCTTCAGGTCTTTAATGCTAGCTGTATATAGAGACATAATAAAATGTGTTGTGTGAACTTAATCTACATTTTAGTAAAACGTCAGTCTCCAAGATATATCACAGCAAAAGGCAACATAACTCAAAATAAATAGCCCTGAATTAACTTTCAAAACCATAGTTTTTGAGTTCTCCTACTGAAGACAAAACTAGATAGCTACTAGATACGATGCAATTAGAAAACAACTCATCTGCCACACAGAACTCAGTTGCCAAGTGTAGTACAGCAAAAATGCCCTGCTGTGGCCACTCTCAAGAGAAAATAAAGAAAAATAAGTGTGAGGCCACCTCCTCTTTACAAGGTTGAGAATTCAATCTCAGAAATAAAACAAAGCTTAACAAAAGAAGATGAAGCAGAAGAAAGGTTGGCACGGACAAGTGAAGGAAATGCAGAGAGAAAATACACTGAGACTCCTTAATGTAGCACAACAATAGACACAAAATATGGGTGCTTTGAACAGAGCAAAGAAGGAAACTTACCGGAATGTTTGAGATGCAAGACACTGTAATGCTTGAATTCATCACTTTGTTTTCAAAGACAATGCCAGATCTAAATAGAGGGTTGGCTGTAGCTACGGAAATTCAAGGGAGCCTTTCTCATTCCCTTTGCTTATTGATAGCCAATCAAAAAGGTTGAAGAGAGACCAAGAAATGTGGAGTTTGTCAGCATAATGTACACAGTGATATATTGTGATGACAAGAAAATTGTGCACTTAGATGTCCAGGGAATGTATGCCTTATATCTCTCCAGCTCCTTATTCCCATTTGGGGCTTTCAATTACTTGAGAGTGAAAGACAGAGCAGCATCTCATTTTTTTTCCCAGGAACTTTCTCCTACAAAGGTCAAGTCGATAGAACCCAAGTCAGCTGGAGAAGTGCACAGGCTCTCCTCTGATTATAAGGCCTTAAATCCAACTCTAATTTTCCTTTGGCTCAAGAAGGAGCTGTTAACATAGAGCCCTTTGACAGGCAAAAACTCACTCTTTGTAAAAGTGCAGGCATGTAAGAATGCAAACAGACACAGACAAACACACACGCTGGGACTGTGCAATTAAGAGCAAGAGCTATCTTGTAGAAATACAACAGGAAGACTTGAGAGATACCGTGACAAAAATAGAAGACAAAATTGTGGGGGAAACAAGAATATAATTAATAAAACACAAAAATATATCGCAAATTCACCCTAATGTTCATTTTGAAAAATGTGAGGTTACCAGAGGTCTCTCCCCAGGTGACCGAGATGCTGGACATGGAATCAAGTAACTGAAATGACAATATATCCTTATTTGGTGGTGGTTGTTTCCTGTTGGGCGTGAAAACCTCTCACTCGGAAAAAAGCTGCTAAGAGCTTCAAAACAGAATTCAGGGTGGGAAAATAATAGCACAGGAAATTAAAGAAAAAAAAAGAATGCCTCTAAATCTGGTAGTTGCTTTTAAAAGTGGAAAATCATGGTATTTTGGATCTTATCAAGAACTTACATTACAAAAAATCAAGAATCTTATTTTAATAATTATCTTATACATTTATTGATTACCAAGATAGGAGACTCCATTAAAGAGGGAAAGTACTGTCCATGGTTTGCCTCTATAAAAGTACAATTTTGCAGGCTTGAGTACCTACGAGTGATCTTCAAGTGATCTTTCCTAAAAATATTTTACCTATACAGAGTGAGCTCATCATGATAACTTATTTTCCAGAGTTAACAAATTAGTTTGACCCATGTCAGGTGCCCTGGATGACCTACGAAACTGGGCTTGACTAAGATTTTAGGAAAAACCTATATATTTATTGTTTATTTTATTCATATTAACTGACTTACTCAACTATGTTACCTGGCTACAGAAATAAATGCAAATGGGTCAGTTGCATTGGCTCATGCCTGTAATTCCAGCAGTTTGGGAGGTCGAGGTGGGTGGATCACTTGAGCCTAAGAGTTCAAGACCAACCTGGGCAAAATGGGAAAACCTCATCTCTATGAAAAATACAAAAAATTAGCCAGGCATGGTGGAATGTACCTGTAGTCTGAGATACTCTGGAGGCTGAGATGGGAGGATTATGTAAGCTCAGGGTCGTCGAGGTTGCAGTGAGCCATGATCACACAACTGCAATCCAGCCTGGGAGAGAGAGTGAGACCCTGTCTTGGAAAGAAAAGAAAAGAAAAGAAAAGAAAAGAAAAGAAAAGAAAAGAAAAGAAAAGAAAAGAAAAGAAAAGAAAGAGAGAGAGAGAAAGAAAGAGAGAGAGAAAGAAAGAAAGAGAAAGAGAGAAAGAAGGAAGGAAGGAAGAAAGGAAGGAAAGAAAGAAGGAAGGAAGGAAAGAAAGAAAGAAAGAAAGAAAGAAAGAAAGAAAGAGAAAGAAAGAAAGAAAGAAAAAGAAAGAAAGAAAAGAAAGAAAGAGAGAGAGAGAGAGAAAGAAAGGAGGGAGGGAAGGAAGGAAGGAAGGAAGGAAGGAAGGAATGAAGGAAGGAAGGAAGGAAGGAAGGCAGGCAGGCAACTGTATTATGCCACAGACTGCAGGTGTATAGTTGTAACACTGCTTAATGTGAAATAAAAATAATGTTATTATTTATCAAAATAATAAGACCAAAAGTAGAAGATAATTTCCATTGCCATGCACAAAACCATAAAGGGTAGGTATATATCATCTTTAATATCAGGTCCATCTGTATATTTCTAAGCACTTGGCTGTTCAGATGATAAGATAATATTTAAAAAAATTAGTAAGCAGCCACTAAGAGGTTATTGTGATGATATGAGTAAAGGTAAAACTGGAATTAATATATTTAGATAATAAATTACTGATTCAAGTTATATTTAGTTAATAAATTAGTGACTCAAATGGGTTTCTGTTCATAATACAAACTTGAAATATTCAGAGTAATAGGGAAGGTTAGAAATAATCAAATGTAGCTCGTATCATTATGATACCAAGCTGCAAACATATAAAATGGTAGACAAAGAGGACATTGGGTAGTATACCAATTTTTATTTCAATTTAAACTCATAAACAATCTAGACCTTGAAATATTTAATTACTACTGCTGTCCTATTATTAGTGACTGGACTATATTCTATATATTATATGCATTGATGGAAGAAGATGGAGTTTAGGAGAACATGTTAATGACAAATTCTCAATATCCAATATAAAACTGCTAAAAACTTTTCTGACAAGTTGTGAAATCAAGCTCATATTTGCATTAATTTAACAGCTAACTGAAAGTGGTTAAGACATGAATGATGCATAAAAACATAAAAATGCTATAATTTTCTATTGATCATTGTATCATTTATTTGTCTAGAGAAAAATTATCAAATACAGTCAAAATCTTGAGGTTACTCTATTATATTCTTATTTTAGATTCGGGGGGTACATGTGCAGGTTTGTTATATGGGTATATTGCGTGATGCCGAGTTGTGGGCTTCTAATGATTCCACTGTCTAAATAGTGAACATAGTACCTGATTGGTAGTTTTCCAACCCTTTACTTCCTTCCCTTCTCTTGGAGTCCCTAGTGTCCATCGTTCCTATCTTTGTGTCTGCATTTAGCTCTTACTTATAAGTAAAAACATGGAATATTTAGTTTTCTGTTTCTGTGCTAATGTATTATACTTAGGATAATGGCTTCCAGCTGCATCCATGTTGCTACATAGGACATGATTCCATTGTTTTTTATGGCTACATATTCTTCCAAGGTGTATATGTACCACATTTTCTTTATCCAATCTACAGCTGATGGTCACCTGGGTTGATTCTGTCTTTTCTATTGCAAATAGTGCTGCAATGAACCTATGACTGCAGGTGTCTTTTGGTAGAATAATTTATTTTCCTTTGGGCACATACCCAGTAATGGTGTTGTTGAGTCAAATGGTAATTCTGTTTTTAGTTCTTTGAGAAATCTCCAAACTGCTTTCCACAGGGGCTAAACCAATTTCCATTCTCACCAACAGTGTGTAAGCATTCCCTTTTCTCCACAACCTCACCACCTGTTATTTTCTGACTTTCAGTCCTTTGTCAGATCCATAGTTTGCAAATATTTTCTCCCATTCTGTAAGTTGTCTGTTTACTCTGTTGATAGTTTCTTTTGCTGTGCAGTAGCTCCTTAGTTTAAGTCCCATTACTCTATTTTTTATTTTGTTGTATTTGTTTTGGGGGTCATCATCATAAACTGTTTGCCTAGGCCAACAGTTTATGAAGAAGAATATTTCCTAGGTTTTCTTAAAGCAAACTACAGCCTCAACATTATTCCTGTCAAATTACCAACTTCATTTTTCACAGAATTAGAAAAAAAAACTATTCCAAGATTCATATGAACTAAAAAGAAGCTAGAATAGCCAAGGGAATCCTAAGTAAAAAGAATAATGCCAGAGGTATCATATTACTTGACTTCAAACTATACTGCAAGGCTACAGTAACCAAAACAACATCATACTCATTCAAAAATAGACACATAGCCAATGGAATAGAATAGAGGCCACTGAAATAAAGCTGCACACCTACAATCAATTAATTACTGGCACAACTGCACAACAAGGAAATGATTTTCTGTGCAATAAATGGTGCAGGGAAAACTGGCTAAGCATATGCAGAAGAAGGAAACTGACCCTTACCTCTTACCATGTGCAAAAATTAACTCAAGATAGATTAAAGACATAAACGAGCTTATTTTTCTCTAATTTGGGTCTTTCACTTCTATTAGAGCCTGAAAGAATTAAAATAAGCACATTTAGTCATCTGGAATCTGCTACCAAATAATACATGTGCCCTCATTAGTGTTTGTGTTCACAGTCCAAGTGGCAGCAAGAAGCACTACTTGGGTTGAAGGCCAGTGATAAAATAGGTGCATCAATGCAAAAATTAGCATTTGCACCATTTGATGTCATAGCACAAGGTGGGAGAACATGATTAAATTGAATTTAACACTGACAATCTGCACCATGCACTTCTACAACCACAGCAATATTTTCAACAAAGTGACATCTTTAGGCTTCAGTCACCTTAAAATGAAGCGTTAGTGTTTATTGGTTTGGTACTCATATTAGGATTCTTTACTTATGATTTTCAAATTTCTTTAGTTTTATAGTTATATGAAAGTATAACCATAGGAGTTTATTAGGTTTGGTATGTCTCTACAAATTTAATATAATTGTAAATACAGTTTAAGGCAAAATCTTATTCAGCAATGGTGATTCATGAGAAATCCTTTCTTTGAGTGAAATTGTTTCATTTTTGAAGATTGAAACTCAAATCTGTGACTTCAGCAATGACGTGGGGAAAGCTGCTATGCAGTCATATCTGGAGCTTCAGAGCCAAGATAGAGTAGACAGGATGGGACCCCTCTGTTGCTGATGTCTTTCTGACTGTTTCAACTCAATCACAAAGTGTTTTTAATCTCAATGGTCTCTATATAGTGCAATGTTTGTGTGTTTGTGTGTGTGAGTGAATACACACGCTTGTGTTTCTGTAGTTTTTATAGTACCAAAATAAACCATATGAGAATTAAAGCATTTGTTCAACTTGTTGCTGGTATCAGGAAGACTAAAACAATATGACATCTATGTGTAAGGTTATAATTTTATATTTTAGAGCTAATTTATTTATTTCTGGATGATTTTTTTTTTGATAAAGAATGGCCAGGTGCACTAGGAATGAATCTTTTCTCTCTTAGTTTTCAGGGCAAGAGATTTTGAAAGAAGATGTGCCATCAGTGTGTTTTTAAACATCAGACTAAAAATAGCACTCATATGACCATAGGAATTTGGTAAAACTGGAAAAGAAAGATACTGAGCTCAACCGATCATGATGACAATGTTGGCCAACAGAAGTGTCAGCTGCTAAGGCCACTCTCAACTTTTACCGATTAATCGGAATCTGGCACAGTTCTCTAGGCCCTACTTTCATATGTAAATTTTTATTTTATATCACATACATCACATATCACATCACTTGACCTTCCAAATTTCTCAAATGACCATGTAACTTCCAAAGTAACTTCTTTCTTTCAATATCTACAAGCTCTTCAGCTCTTCATCCTTTGTGCAGGTACAGCAGTGTCTTCTGGGTTGTATTTTCTTCTTTATTTACAAAAGGAGCTCTACTGAAACATATGACTAGACATAATATCTCCTTAAATAGACATTAGCTAGACATCAAAACTGAAGTTCAAAGAAGGAAGAGAGACAGTAGGGGACCATGCACCCTGAAATTTTAAGTTCTACCTAACCAAGGTTCCAGTCCTTACTCAGCCATTAACCTGAATAATTTTAGGCTGCTCACTCAACCTCAATTTCAGTGGGAGCCATTGGAAATTGGACTAGGTAACCTCCAAGAGCCAAAAATCTATTGGATCTATTAGTTCTAAAGTCATAAGTAAAAAAAAAAAAAAAGGAAGAATCAATTAATGAAGTATACAATATATTTTATTGTGGTTCTTACTTTTTATAAGCTTCATGTTATGTTTTTTAAGTTTCTTATAATTTACAAAGATATGCCTACACAAGGTAAAAAATAAAATCACAGAAGTAAGCCTCCTGCATAGACTGCAGATTCAGTTCTCTCTATAGAGAGAAACAAGTTTTATATGTACTTCCACATATTTTTAATGCCTAATTTTAAACAAATTGGAAAATACTGTATATAGTATTCCAAAATTTATTATTTTCACTTCACAATCTATAATGGCCACTTTTCCATGTTATGGCACAAGGATAAATCTCATTTTTTGAAGGTTGAGTAATAATTCCATTTTATTAATAAAATACCACATTTGCCTTGTAATTTATTTGTACCTTCAACACAAATCAGGAAAAAAAAATTAACCAAGCTTTCACACTGAAGTACATAATAACATAAAACTAGCAACCACTAACAAATGATGTTGAATAGCCAATATCTGTCCAATATTTTATGCTTAAGATCCCAGCCCAAAAATCATTTGAAATTTTTGACTATACTCCTTATACAGATTATCCCAAAGATCATAAGATACATAATATTTGTATAAATCTTCAAAGGAGTGAAAGTATTTTAGTAATTTGAAAAAATTAAAAGATGTGCTAAATGATAAGGAATCTGAGTAGTTAACAATGGAAAAATAAATCTCCAAAGTTACAGGAGCACTTAAAGTAAAAGTTATACAATTGAAGATCTACTAAATAAGAACAGCAAGTTAAAGAAATAAAATTAAAACTTCTAAAGTGTTTTTTTTTTTCTGTTCTTTCAGTTAGATTTGCATGTGCATTTGACAACATGCTCATTTACTGTTGGTCCTGATATGGTGCAGGTTTTGAAGATGCATGAAGCACTGAGTTAATGCATTGAATTAAAACCTACAGGTATCTTGTATTTCAAGAAGCATAGGTATGTATAATTACCATGCCTGTCTGAAAAAAATTAAAGCCTAAGGCAAGAATTCACTTAAATTGTAAATGGCTCTGAGTGAAATCCCTTTAATAGCAAATTAAAATGTACACATAATATAATCTGAAATTATATGGTGTACCTATGCTATGCACTGCCACATAAATCATATGATTTAATTCCATAAAAAGCTGTATAAAGTGTTGTTATTTCTATTAATAGTGTTTTTGTTATATTCATTATTATTATCTAATGATTGTGTTATGGCTGGTATATATAAAACACTCTACAAATATTTATTGAAGAAAAATGAATAAATGCATGCATCTTTATTTTGTAAGTAAAGAAGCAGTCTTAGAGTGATTAAGCCAAGGAAATTTTGAGCAATTACACATTAACGAAATTAATAGGACACTATCCTCTCTTTATAATAACTCTCAGAAAATATGCTATTGCCCGTACTATTAACCTTTTTGAGAGAAAATTTGCACTTATTTCTGGAGCTTTTTTTATGGTCAATGATCTCAAAAACATTCAACAAACCCATTAAGTCCATCAGAATTTCAAGATTTGTCTCCAGTAGTTGCCAAAGATTGAAAGATGACACTCTAGCGAAGGTTGGTGACATTTCATAGATAAACCTGAAAAAGCTAGAATAAAGTTTAAATAAAGTTTTAAAGAGTTTAGTAACTTGATGACCAAGTATAAAAACAATGAAAGCAAACTATCTGAGTACTATATCAACAAAATTAATTATGGAAGGTATATTAGTGTTTTGAGAGCTCCCAGTAAAATTGGGGTTCCAGAACCAGGGAGACTAGCAACCCTCCCCTAATGGAAAATGGAGGGGAGCTGGGCATGGGTGTTTACAGTATGCCTCTCTTGGGATACTTTTTTCACCTGGCAAATGGCCTAACGGCTAGTTGTCCAACCACTACCATGGGGGCTTCCTTACACAGGAAACTTTATACTGACAGATGCCCTTGTGGCTCTTGTCTGACCCATGTCCAGTTTATGCCTGGCTCTGGGTGCTAGGGGTCTGGCCTTTTGTTCTCCCTGTTGTCAGGTTGGGAAATGGCCTGAAACAGTTCCTCATTCTTCAGATGGAAGGCGCAGATTTACTACACCACCACAATAGGAAACAACTTCAAAGATTTTTACTTAGAGATCCTGAGCATGGAGGGCATAATGAGATAATGAGTCAGAAGGGCAGTCCTCTGTCCCCAGGTCATGCAAGGCAAGAATAAAGAGTCAGGCAGAGAGAGAGACAGACAGAGAGAGAAGCCCATGGCAACTAACAGCATATAAAGAGGAATAGGGTGTGAGTCACTGTAAGTTCACAGGCAAATGCCTGAATGGTCTGTTTAAAAAAAGAGGAGGGAAAACTGAAGGCCTCCTAGGGAGAGATGTCTTTTAAGTTCTTATGTCTGGTCACAGGCTTGAATCACTTAGGTGTGGTGTAAAACTGGAAACTGCATCAAGAGTGGCTGAGCATTTCTTCCGGTATGAGCTCTGCTTCCAGTATGAGGCTGCCTCCTGTATTCAAAATAGATGCTGAAGCATCACAGTATTGCAAAAATTAACTACAACCAATTACTATAAATGTTAAGTTCAGAACATAATAAAGGCAAGACACGTATGAGGAATTAGAAATGCTCTTTTAACAATTTAGATTTCGATTTTCAATGTAAGCAATGATCAAATGGAACCATTGATACTTAAGTTTGATCAGATAGGGAAAGAAAAATATAGATAGCATGATAAAGAAAAATAAAGCTTTACCCAAGTGGAACTATTACAGAATTCTAAACCATATCTTGAGAGAGAAGATTGCTTTTGTTTTGAGAGATGCTGTTGATGTTAGTCATCATGTAATAAAAATGTAGCATGGTATAATAATGCTTGAGAAGAAAACATTCGTTCAATATATGTTTTGTGATAACGTGCTTTACTTTGATTATTCCCATAAGAGAGCAATGTAGGTATTATTATCCCCAGATCACAAATGAAGAAACCAATTGAATCAGAAGCATGAGAGTATGATTCTTGTGCAAGCCCTTCTAGTTATGAGCTCTGTGTCCCTGCGGAAATCTCATCTCTGAGCTTTTGTTTCTTCTCCAATAATACATAGATGATACTTGCCCTGATGAACTTCCAGAGTTGTTTGTGATGGCAATTAAATATGTCAAGCCTCTTAGGGAAACCGTTTAATCTCCTTATATCTCAGTTTCCATATTGGTAAAATTAGGATAATAATAATGCTTATCTCACAGAATCATTGTGAGTATTAAATGATGTAACACATAAAAAGTTCTTAGGACATGCTGGTCATATTAACTTCTTCTAGAGAGAGAAAACAGTATCTGCACATCTTTGCCAAATTTAACAGATGACTAAATAATGTGTGTATTTAATTCTGTCACTATCAGCAAACATTTCTTGAAAATCAACGCTTTGAAAAATACTATGCTAAATATTTCAGGGGATGCAAAGACGAATAGGTTAGAATCTCTGCACTTGGAGGATTCAGACTGCTGAGCGAAATAGACACATACATAACTGTAATGAAAGACAGGGTATGATATATTGAAAGTATCAAAGAGAAATTTCTACTACAATCTAGGTATGAAATAAATATTTTCTTGTCTTCATTTATTTGAGTCTGCTCAGCTCCTTGGTCCATGGTAACTGAAGGACAACATATATGGAGGTATTTTCACAATTGATGAACACAATAAAAATTTATACTGATATTCTGGGTCCTGTGACCCAATATGAAATGAAGATGTAGTATTTCTACTGAGAGTTCTAGTCACCAGGATGTCCTCTGGAAATTAATAGAACACAACTGGTCCATGAACTTGGAATTATTTTTCCCAGAGTGCAAATGGATTTGTGCTGATGCTTTTATGTTCTCTTACTTTTGCTACCCACGTTAATGACAGGTGCCTGTGCTTGGGAATCAGTCTTTAAGCATGGAACCAATCAAAGATAAAAGACATGTAAAGAGATTGAACTTGAAACCTCATTTCTCTAGGTTGTTACTATGCAATCAGTCTGTTGAATTCAGATGCCCAGACACCACACTTTTTCCTTTTTATATGTATGTTCAGGAGGAATTCATTCTAGGTCATTAAAGCTCAGATTGTATACTTCAGCTCTTCACCAAAAATTCAATTAAATCATCAGTAGCACCACTTTGATACCATCCCATTGACACTGCAAAAATCACTTTTTCCTAGATCTTTGTTGGAATTTTTCATTGATGGCTACTTGAAAAATAATTTGAGAATCTTCCCTAGACTTTTGCAATAACCTCTTCACTGGTCTCAGTTCTACAGTTTCTCTTAGTTTCAAATCCATTCTGGAAAATTTTTACTGTGTTCCTCAGCTATCAAAATACTTCCATTATGTTATCATTCAGTTACCAAAGGGCTAGGCAGGGTCAAATAAATGAAAGCAAGAAAATAGTTTATTCACACTGGAACGAGAGTAAGGATTTCTCTCTGATATTCCCATATATCACACTGTCTTTAATTATCATTATTTATATGTTTATTTCCCTTGGGAGACTGTAAGTCTTCAGAGTCTATTGATTCTCTCCTATTGATCTTTGCATATCCTAATGTGCAAGTATATTACAACCAAGATAAACAATTTTTAGTGATTATTACTGCTTTATTGAAAACACTCAAATTCCACAATATTTGTCCCACCTACATAAATTCCAATCTTAACTCCTAATATTCTCTCATATGTACCTTATGCTCAAGTGAATTCCAAACCTGAAGAGTTAGAAAGACAGAGACAAATTGTTTCATCTCCCAACATTCCACATTATTACTTTGTAGGCAGTGTTCAGAAGTCCTTAGTTTTGTTTGTTTGTTTGCTTGTTTTAAGACCGAGTCTCACCCTATCGCCCAGGCTAGAGTGTGCACTGGCACAATCTTGGCTCACTCCAACCTCTGCCGCCTGGGTTCAAGTGATTCTCCTGCCTCAGCCTCCTGAGTAGCTGGGATTACAGGCACCTGCCACCCAGCCCGGCTAATTTTTGTATTTTTAGTAGAGACGAGGTTTCACCATCTTGGCCAGGCTGGTCTTGTACTCCTCACCTTGTGATCCACCTGCCTCAGCCTCCCAAAGTGCTGTGATCACAGGCGTGAGCCACCACGCTCAGCCTGGAAGTATTTACTTTTAAACATGTAACATACATAATAATGTAATATAATATATATCATAAGTGGCCCATGTATTTCGAATTATTTTTCCCAGAGTGCAGATGGATTTGCACTGATTCTTTTGTTCTCCTCTTACCATTCTACCCAAGTTAAAGGCAGGCCTAAGCTTGCCTAAGGCCTAAGTCTTTAAGCATGGAAGCAAACAAAGATAAAAGACATGTAAAGAGATTAAGCCTCAAACTTCATTTGGTAAATACATATACACAAAGCTGATATTTCCAACTCTAGAATAAGTAAACTATTTTCTTCTCTTCTAGGCCACTCTGCCATTTCCTACACCCAAGTTTTTTAAAATTATTATCAACTTATAATGGTAAGTTCCTTCTCAGATCACTGCTTCTCAATGCTCGTCTGAAATAATATCACCTGCCTGAAGTTTTTCCTGATTTATTGCTTTTCTAATCATTTCCATGACATTTTGCTTGCATCTTCCTTTCGATACTTACTAGTCTGCCTTATAATATGGGCATCTATACACTTGTCATCTCCATCAACAAATATAACCTGCTTAAGCTTATATTGTCTTCAACTTTCTAAAAAACTGATACACTATTTTATATAGAGATGAGTAGCTCTAAGTAGATCATTTTTAAAGAAATTAGGTATTATGCCAACCTATACTTTTTAGTTACTTCAACTGTCCCTGTAATTCCCAAATTGGAGTTGGTTATCAAGTGCAAATGTGACCAGAATTGGTTCCTTCTGGTGGGCGCTTGGTCTGGCTGACTTCAAGAACAAAGCCGCGGACACTCACAGTGAGTGTTACAATTCTTAAAGATGGTGTGTCCGGAGTTTGTTCCTTCAGATGTTCAGATGTGCCTGGAATTTCTTCCTTCTTGCTGACTTCAGGAGTGAAGCCACAGACCTTTGCAGTGAGTGTTACAGCTCTTAAAGGTGGCGTGTCCGGAGTTGTTCGCTCCTCCCGGTGGGTTTGTGGTCTTGCTGGCTTCAGGAGTGAAGCTGCAGACCTTTGCAGTGAGCATTACTGCTCATAAAGGTAGTGCAGACCCAAATAGTAATCACCAGCAAGATTTATTGCAAAGAGTGAAGAGCAAAAGAACTAAGCTACCACGGTGAGGAAGGGGACCCAAACGGGTTAACACTGCTGGCTCAGGTGGCCAGCTTTTATTCCCTTATTTGGCCCCGCCCACATCCTGCTGATTTGGTTCATTTTACATAGTGCTGATTGGTCCATTTTACAGAGTGCTATTGGTCCATTTTTACAGAGTGCTGATTGGTGCATTTACAAACCTTTATCTAGACACAGAGCACTGATTGGTGTGTTTACAATCCTTTAGCTAGACAGAAGAGTTCTCCAAGTCCCCACCTGACCCAGAAGCCCAGCCGGCTTCACCTCTCACAAAGACACAGTTAACGTATCACATAAGAAACTTACCTGTCAAAAGATATTAGCCAGCACCCAAATTCACCTTAAATGTGCCTTTTTTCTAAAGCAAATGTATCTCACCACTAAATGCCAGCAAGCCTACTTGGTTACACTAGGCCACATAAAGTTGGGGATTCCTAATTATCAGCACAGCAGCATAAGGCTTTTACATAATAACTTAGTTTAACACAGCATCATTCCCCTGAACAGGGGAGTGATGGTAGCAGATAATGATAGAAAACAGTAGCTTTCAGCACTTCTGCTACTTGAGGAGGAGGTACTCATGGTCCCATGCACAAAGTCCAGGAGAAAAGATTCCTGGGCCAGCCCAAGCGGTAGTGCTTCAGGGCCTACAGAAAAGGGCAGCTTGCTTAATCACTGTTGATTATGACATCCATTCCTCATTCACTGCAACAGGAGAGATGAGTACTGAGGCCAAAGGGAGGCTATTCATGAACCTCTACTCCAACCCCTGATGTTGTAAACCAATCTCCCTGCTGCCCTGAATTCCTTATCACATTGGGTTCATCCTCCTCCTTACAGAATCCTGCTTTATACACCATTGTAGTTTTACACCTTTCTAAAATACAAACTATTGAAATCCCTTTTTCTTCCTTCCTGAAACCTAATTATCCCTTTTCCCCATCTTCCCAAATGTCTGTTTCCTGTGGCACAAATGACTTTTGTACAGCCATTAAGAACCCTATATTGTTCCAACTTAAGACTATCAGGAAACATACTGATGTCTTGAGGTACTCTAGAATCATGGGAGCATGCAATAAAATCTTCCAAACCTACGTCAAGAAAACAGACTTTTCCAAGGTTGAGAAAGTCTTTTCTTCACCCCCTAAAATAAAAACAGAACAAATCCTTCTTATATTATTGCAAAAATTTTTGTAGTTAACCCCTTCTCCCTCTTTACTGTTAACATTACTCCCACTCCTGGGAAGTGTCAGGAGCCTTTAGAGTCCATCAGAGCAGGTCTCTGAATCTTCATCCCCATACAGAGTTATTTGTCTGCTTGGGAATTTTTTGTATTAGGAGACCTAAATTAATTTTAAATTACGTTAAAGAACAGTGTTATATATTATAGGTTTATAAACAGGGGCATAGGTTTCTAATGTTTGAAAAACAGGACAATTTGACAATAGAGAAGAGCAATACAACAAGGTTAAAAACTGCAATCCAAATCTAGTTCAAAACTCATCGTGGTTGAAAGAGCATGAATGAAGAAAACGTACTGGCCACATGAGGCAAATCAAAGTTTTCTGGGAATTCATCAAGGAAATGTCTAATATTTTTCTAAATTACATCGTCTATTCTATACACTCCTACCTCCCATCTATCCTATATAAGCTTAATTTTGTTTAACTGGGCACAAGTGAACAATTTTATTTATAATATCAACTTGTCTTTAGATGTTTCTTAGAAATGATAGCATATAGTTGATCATTTTCAGGCTAAAATTTTGTGACGTAGCCAACTGTTTGCAGAAGAAAGCACACCCTTCCTCCAAAATTTTTTCACATAAAGAATGGACACTTAAACCCTATTTCCAAAAGTAAACAGAAGAAACCTAAACTTCAAAAATCTCATAGGTCAAGAACTGAGAATGTGGCTTAGGATTTAGATGATTTAAGGAATAATATGAGCTTTTCCTCTGCATCAATCTGTTCCATTAAATATTACCCTGGTAAAATCACTAAATGTAGGGCTCAGTTTCTACTTTGTAACATGGAGATTATATCATAATATATGCTAGACAGATTATAAAAAGTACATAAATAAAATATGGAAAGTAGTTTGTAAGTTGTAAGAGACTATACAGATAAGACAAATAGAGTCCCCCACCCCTCTAGACCTGGAGCAGTTGCCTCCTTTGACCTTGTGTTTCAGCTAGATATTAATTGTGATTGGAAAAAGGGCTTTCCCCTATTTTTGTTCCTGAAGGTACTCTGTTCGGTGTTACTTTCCTGAAAGTAAAATGTGTTAAATACATGTTGCAAGTAGGCATTGCTGTCTCTTTCTTCTTTAATTTTGTTTGCTTTAAACATTTGGTTTATGTCCTAAACTGTAAAATTATTTAGATAGAGACTCCAAAATCTATACAATGAAACCCACATAGCTCCACTAACTCCAACTTATGACCTAGACAAGTCTCATTGGTACTTTTTCTTTCTAAATTCAACACCACTAACACACACACACACACACACACACACGAAGCCAGTTAAGTCATGGTAGAGGGAACATAAATCAAGTAGTGCTTCTTTGCAAATGTACATAAGTACTTTAAGAGTGATAAATTTAAAACATCATATATATTAAAACCCAGGTTGGATTCCTAAGTCTACCATTTATTAACTTATACTATCTTGATTGAGTAGGATACCTACTTCTCAAATTTTGTTTTTATAGCCTGTAGGATAAAGAAAATAATATATTTTTTTCATGTAATCACAGTGCTTTAGAAGGATATTTGGGAAAGTACTTTATAAATTATAAAGCAGTCTAAAAATAGAAAGTATTGTTGCTACTATAACAATAATAAGTATTAATATCACTTATCAAAGGAACAAAGCCTGATTGATGCTGCAGTTCCATGCACCTGGTGTCCTGGATTCTGGGTGCTGTCCTGGATTCTGCATTAGGTCAACACTAGAACCAGCTCCTCCAGTCGAGACTGCAGTTACTAGCTGAGGAGCAGTTAACAGAATCAGCATTAGGCAAATAGTCCAAAGTCTCCGTTCACTGCAACCTCTTCCTCCTGGGTTCCAGTGATTCTCATGCCTCAGCCTCCGAGTAACCGGGACTACAGAACTGCACCACCACACCTGGCTAATTTTTGTATTTTTAGTAGAGACAGGGTTTCACCATGTTGGTCAGTCTGGTCTCAAACTCCTGACCTCAGGTGATTTGCCCTCCTCAGCCTCCCAAAGTTCTGCGATTATAGGCATGAGCCACCATGCCTGGCCTGGAAGATGGGATGTTATTGAAGGTAATGGCAGTTAAAGTGAACAGAAAGGAAAAGGATGGAAGAATTTCAGAAGCTAGAATTTCTGGAGTCCATGCCAGTTATTTACAAGACTCTACCAATGGCATGACATCCTGGGAAAGTCATACATTAAATGGCATATTGGGAATGTCAAATCACAGAATTAAAGGCTGTACAAGTTAGTCACTTAGCCCAACCTGAGTTACACAAAATGAAATCTCGGAATAGAGATGTGGAGATGGCTGGTCCGGAAACACAAAGCTGTGGTGGATCATACATTTGATCTTGAATTATTTTGAATTAAAATTGGAAATATTTAAATTGGAAATTACTTTAAAATGGAATGTTATATAAGTGAATTAGGCTTTCAGTGATACCATGATATGATTTGCTTTCTTTCTAGGTTTGTTTGTAGATGGTATCTCAGAATCCAGTTCCCCTCTCTTATCTCTCCAAATTATTCTTAAATACAGCAAGTTTCCAAATTTCCAAGCAGCATCAGAAGTATTACCACTTAGAAGGAGGAAATTCAAGATGTTTCTCTTATTTTACTATGGCATGAACCACTTAAAAAACTAAATAAAAATCCTATAACCTTTACCTCCAGTCTTACTATCAAAATATTTACTTATTATATTATCAAGATGACTCCTAAGAATTATGACATAATTATTAAGAGTGTTATTGAAAATATGTATACTCATCCTCTACATAATAAATATATGCAGATGCATTTAATGTAGATATTATTAACACAATGTAAATCAATAAAGGGTTTTTAGTATTTTTTAAATATAAATTTTTTATGATTTCAAAAATTTTGAAACTTCTGCACTACCACATGGATTTTAATAGTTTATTAAATGTTAACTGAGCAGTGGCACAGGAAGTAAGATAGCCATAAATATTAAGTTTTTACCCTAAATATATTCATACCTATAATACTAATAATATTGATGATAAACTTTTTATCATTTACTAACTACTTACTTTGTGTGTAAAGTGTTTTCACTTATTGTCATTTCTGTCCATTTGGGATTCTATTACAAATTTTTTTTTATCAACTTGGTAGCTTACACAATAAACATTTATTTCTCACAGTTCTGTGGTTGGGAGGTCCAAGATCAACATGCTGGCAAATTTGGTGCCTGGGGCACCAAAAAAGAATGGACACTTAAACCTTATTTTCTGCTTCCTTGTTCAAAGATGGTGACTTCTCACTGTGTCCTCACTTTGGGGGAAGGGGTGAGGGAGCTCCCTGTAATGTCTTTATCAGGGCAATAACCCTACTCATGAGCACTTCAATCTTATGATTCATTTACCTCCCAAATGTTTCATCCCCAATGCCATTATCTTAAGGGTTCGAATTTTAACGTGTGCCTGGAAGTGGAGACACACACATTCAATTTATAATAACTGAATTATTTATTCTTCATAAGAATATAAAAGAATTACCACTTTGGGAGGCTGAGGCGGGCAGGTCACCTAAGGTCTGGAGTTTGAGACCAGCCTGGCCAACATGGCGAAACCCCATCTCTACTAAAAATACAAAAATTAGCCAGGCATGCTGGCATACGCCTGTAATCCCAGCTACTCAGGAGGCCGAGGCAGGAGAATTGCATGAACCCGGGAGGCAGAGATTGCAGTGAGCCGAGATCCAGCCACTGAACTCCAGCCTGGGCAACAGAGTGAGACTCCATCTCAAAAAAAAAAAAGAATTAAGAATTACAAGAAAGTGTAGGCAGAGCCCCTATCAAGTTATGCCTGCAAGCCATTTCTTCTACCACTGGATTTTTCAGTTACATGAGTGAAAAAAAAAATTATCTTCTTCAAGTCCATCTGACTTAACTCCCATGTTACTGCCATTGAATAATCTAATGGAGGAAAAAAAACGTCACTGATGCTCCTGATGATTTTTTTGTCTAAACTCCAATAGACCCTTTGTATGGCAGTTTATACCCCAGAATACTATCAATCATATACTTTTTATTTCCACTAGAAGATTGTAAGTTCCTTAAGCAAAGAATTTATATCTTATTCTTTTCATATCTTTCAGTAGAGCTTTATCTTGTGTATGTTAGGTTAGTATGGTTGGCTCTGTGTTCCCACCCAAATCTCACCTTGAACTGTAACAATCCCCATATGTCAAGGGTGGGACCAGGTGGAGGTAACTGAATCATGGGAACAGTTTCCCCCATGCTGTTCTCGTGATAGTGAGTGAGTCTCATGAGATCTGATGGCTTTATAGGCATCTGGCATTTCCTCTGCTTGCACTCACTCCGTCCTGCTGCCCTGTGGAGAAGGTGCCTGCTTCTCCTTTGCCTTCTGCCATGATTGTAAGTTTCCTGAGGCCCCCCAGCACTGCGGAACTGTGAGTCAATTAAACCTCTTTCCTTTATAAATTCCACAGTCTCAGGCAGTTCTTTATAGCAGCATGAGTACGGACTCATATATGGGTGCTCAAGAAATGTTTCACCAATTACTAATTCATACAGTCACGTAAATGCTCCTTAGGTGAGAAGCTAAAAGAGTTATTTATTGTCGGCTGGGCATGGTGGCTTACGCCTGTAATCCCAGAACTTTGGGAGGCCGTGGTGGGTGGATCACGAGGTCAGGAGTTCCAGACCAGCATGGCCAACATGGTGAAGCCTGTCTCTACTAAAAAAATATTAAAAAATTAGCCGGGCGTGGTGGTGGGCGCCTGTGGTCCCAGCTACTCGGGAGGCTGAGGCAGAAGAATCCCTTGAATCTGGGTGGCGGAGGTTGCAGTGAGCCGAGATCACGCCACTGCACTCCAGCCTGGACGACAGAATGAGACTCCATCTCAAAAAAAAAATAAAAAAGAGTTATTTATTGTCTATTTATTTTTGTCTCTGATGCATTAAATCCTCTGATGATTCATGTTTGTCTACCAACTTCTCACCCCAAAAAAGTTCCAGTGTTGCACAGTTCCTTCTGAATCTGCATCCCTAGACAGGGTAACCAGGAAACGTGACAGCACCCAGGCAATCCAGTCACAAATCTCTGACAGGAGCTGCCCCTCTCTGCACAGCCAGAGACCCGAAAGGGAAACAAATACATCTAGTGCAACAAGTGTCCCGGAAACTCCAGGGTGCCATGACAGAGCCGCGGGAGCCACGTCTGACTAATGCTGATGGGAGAGCAGTCTCAGGGGTCAGGAAACCTCAACTTCAAACACCAAGAAAATGACAGCAGAAAACCTTGTATTAAAAGTAGAGAGGTCTCTAAAAAAAAAAAAAAAGAGAGAGAGAGGTGAAAGAAGTCAAACTTAAATGAACTCAAGTGTTACCTCTAAACTTAAAAAAAAAAAAACAACTCATCATTGACTTTTTAAAATAAATACGCATTGGTTTTTTTTCCATCCTTTCACCAACATAGACCAAGAATCACTTGTGATTTATCAATGAGGACGCATAGGAAAGGCACAGAAGGAAGCCATACATAGTCATGGTGTGCTTGCTCACCCGAGCACAGCTATTCGTTTTGGTGGCTGCCTTTCCCTTTGTTGTCAAAAAAGATTTAAAGGTCTAAAGAGCATATTGTAAACATTCTTTCTCTCTTTATAATGTCTAAATTTTTAGAGTGTAAACAAAACATATCAACTATCTCTCCCCACCCCCTGCAGATATGAACTATCTTTGGGTAAGTTGGCAGACTGACAAATTATAATACATAATTGAAAAAAATAGTAAGTTCCTACTATTTGTCCCCAACCACTCAGACATATAGTTGTTTTTAAAACACTCTTCCTGTCTTCAAGGATTTTATTCTAGTTAGAGTGATCCTCCCTGAAATAAGGGGACTCAAAGCTTGATAACTTTCATTCCCCACTTCACCCCTTCCCACTTCCAACACATACAATATTTAAAATCACAAATTATAACAAAACATATTTTGACCCTCATATTTATAATGGGTCAACATTTCAAGTAGGATTCTCCTTTTCCTTAGAGACCAGTAAAGCAGGAAATCAACATCCTGCCTCAGAACAGTCTTTTGCTGCAGCTTTTTGTCTAGTAGCATTCTTCTAAGTACTATTTAAGGGAGATCTTAATTAATAGATACATATACTGGATTAAATGGAACTGATGCCAGTGGAAAGTCTAGTCAATGATTGCCCATGTAACACTTACACAAACATTTCTACTTGAATGAATGAATGAATGAATGTAAGTTCAATGGAATCTTTAGAAATGAAAGTTAATGTGCTCCACTAAAAGAATCTGATGCAAATTAAGTGAGGTATTATGGAAGCTTACCTGTGAACACAAACAATTTCCTGTGACTCCATAGATATAGGAGGCAAACATTTTACTTCAGGAAGACAAAAGTGTTTGTTTTTTTTTAGACCTGTATAGACAATATCGAAAACTCCTTACAATAAGGAATGAAGTCAAATTAGAGAGACTAAAGAAAATGAGACAGTGGCAATTGGTGAAAGACCCAACATTTAAGGAAACTCACTAAAATTAGTTGCTGCATTTATCCAAACCCACTATTCAATAAATCCAAAACTTCTGATTCATTGACAGAACTAAAAAAAAGTTAAGAATAAATCCCTCTCCAATATTTCAGAGTATGTATTCATGGTACAGATGCAAAATATTACATTTCTGATATTTGACTTTCTTATTAATCCTCCTCTCCTATTTTCTTCCCTTAATTTGAGGGGAGAAGTTAATTTGGAGCATCTCAGTCATGACTTTTTTTTCATAGAGTTTATAAAGTTATAGCTTTTACTTTTGAAAAATACAGGCCCTTCTTCAGATTATGAAACTGATACACTGCCTACTCCACTAAGCAGACAATAACTACAGGACTTTATAATTGCTGGTGAACATTTTTTCTATAAGAGTTTTTTTTTTAATTCTTGTACCTTAAAGCTACAGAGTAAAGCAAATACTTCAGGTATCACAAACTGTTCTTACAAGTATTAATATGAGATACCATCCCACACAAGTCAGAATGGTTATTATTTATTTTTATTTATTTTACATTCAGTGGCACATGTGAAGGGTAGTTATATAGGTAAACTAGTGTCACAGGGGTTTGGTATACAGATTATTTCATCACCCAGCTAATAAACATAGTACCTGATAGGTATTTTTCTGATCCTCTCCTTCCCTCCCATCCTCCACCTTTAAGAAGGCTCCAGTGTCTGTTATTCTCCTCTTTGTGTCCATGTGTTCTCATTATTTAGCTTCCACTTATAACTAAGAACATGTAGTATTTGGTTTTCTGTTCCTGCATTAGTTTGCTAAGGATAATGCCTCCAATTCCATCCTTGTTGCTGCGAAGAACATAATCTTGCTCTTTTTTATGGCTACATAGTATTCCATGTTATATATGTACCACATTTTTTTAATACAGTCTATCATTGTTGGGTATTTAGGTTAATTCCATGTCTTTGCTATTTTGAATAGTGCTGCAGTGAACATACGTGTTTATGTGTCTTTATGTGTCTTCATGGTAAATTATGGTAGAACTATTTATATTCCTCTAGGTATATAATCAATAATGGGATTGATGGATCAAATGGTAATTCTGTTTTTAGTTCTTTGAGAAATTGCCACTGCTTTCCACAGTGGCTGAACTAATTTACAGTGAAATTTAAATTTAATTTACACTACAAAATCTGTAACTCTGATGGAATCTCCTTGTCAAATCATCAGGGGATGAGTGCCAATCATTTCTTCTCTCACATAAAAGAGATAAAATGAAAAGACTAATAATTTCTCCTTTAAACATATGCTTGAGTGTATTGTTTTATTTAAATTAACACTGAGGAACTTCAATTTCAAGATACAGGTATTAGATGAGGCTGGTCATTTTTTCTTCTGCTGCAGCAATTTTTTAAAAAGATAAATTATTTTAAAAATCATATTCTTATAGTCATTCCAGAACTGATGAAGCAAAAAGGACCAAACATACTAAAATCTCAGACAGAAAAACCTTCATCTGCCATTTCTTCCCTGAAGGCACTTGCCAAGATTAACATAAACAGATAATCAGGCTTTACATAGGCAGACAGACTCTAGTAGGGGAAGGAAATCAGCTAAGCTTTTCAGGCTATTTTTTTTTAAAACTTTATGCCCATAAATTTGATAAGTTTGCTTCAATGGTCAAAACTAATAGAAAAACAAATAGAGAATTTGAAGGCTATAAACCATTCTACCAAAATAAAACAAAAAAAAAAATCCAGTCTAAATGGCTTTATTGATGAATTCTACCAAACAGAAAAAAAAAATAGAGCTAAACTTATTAAATTATTTCAGAGAATATGGAAAGACAACAATTCCTAATAAGTTTTATGAGGCCAGCATAACTCTAAACACCAAAACACAAAAAGGGCTCTATAAGAAAGAATTATTGGCTACCATGTCTCCTAAACATTACTGCAAAAATCCTCAGCAAAATGTTGGCAAATAGAATTCAGTGATATATATATATATATTATTTTTTAAAAAAGACATTATGACCTAGAATACATTATAACATGGGAGTTTATTCTAGGAATAGAAGGTCAGTTTAACATTTAAGAAATCTATCAATGTAATTTGCCACATTAACTAAATGAATGAAAAACTCAGGATATTTTAAATAGGTGCAAAAAGTATTTGATAAAAATTTAAGTGCTATTTATAGCAAAAAAAATTTTACCCAACTGAGTATAAAAATTGTTTTAATCTGATAGAATATCTATAAAAAGTATTATACTAACAGAATATTTAATGGTGATCTATTCAACATTTATCCCCTGAGTTTAGGAATGAGAAAAACATGTTTACTATCACTAATTCCATTCAGTGTTGTACTGGAAGTACTAGTCAGTGGAAGAAGACAAGAAAATAAATGATAGAAATATTAGAAAGGAAGAAGAAAACATCTTTAATCCCAGATGACATAATTATACATTTAAAAACCCCAAAGGAAACTACAAAGAATTAAAATTGATAAGTGAATTTAGAAATGTCTCTGTGGTCAAATCAATACACAAAAAATAATCACTATTATAGTGGTAACAAAACATTCTTTCTTGAGAAAAAAATGTTAAATATCGTTTATATTACATTAAAAACATCTAATACCAACAAGTAAACTTAACAAAGATGTACCAAAATTATACACTTCAAACTACAAATAGTACTGAGATAAATTCTTGAAAAACTAGAGGTATGTGATGTTCATGGATAAGAAAACTAAATAAAGATATCAGTTTTCCCCAGATTGAATTACAGATTCAGTGCAATCCCAACTGTAACCTCAAACAAAATTCTGGCAGGATTTTTTCCTAAGGAAATTGAGAAGTTGATTTTTAAATTTATATGAAAAATATAGAATCTATCCAAGATATTCTTGAAAATAAGAACAATATTAAAGGAGGTTACCAAATTTTAAGAATTACCATAAATTACTATAAAGCTAATTATTACAATGTGTTATTGGTACTTAGACAAATAGACCAATATGATTTGTCATAAAGATGCTGCTGACATTTAACAAAGAAATAACCATCTTTTCAAAAATGCTGGAGACACTGTAAATCCATGTTCAAACAATGAGTACTGATCTGTATCTCATGCCATACGCAAAAACAAATTCTAGATTATTAATCTAAAAGACTTAATGACTTAAATATAAAAGAGAAAACAATAAAGCTTTTGGAATTAAAGGATTTGTTAAACAGAAAACTAAAGACTCTAATCATTTAAAAATTATACAGGGACTTCATTAAAATTAAGAATTGTTCATCAAAAGATCTATATTGAGGGCAAAAAGACAAGCACACAGTGGAAGAATATATTCACAAAGCATGTAAGTGACAAATGGTTTATGTCTACAGTATACTTAAAAACTTAAAAATTAATAAGAAAAGTTAAATAACCCAACTCTTAAAAGGAAAGGCTTCAAAAACTACCTCACAAATAAGGATATCCAAATAATCAGTAAAAGCATTAAAAGATGCTCAACATCATTATCCATTCATGAAATGAAAATTAATTAAAATCTAGACAAAACACATACCCAACAGAAAGACTAGAATTTTAAAAAATTCGTCAATACTAAGCTTTGGCCAAAATCTAGAGCAATGGCAATTCTCTGACATTGCCACTAATTATGTAAACTAGTAAAATTTGTACAAATACACTTTGGAAAAGTTTTGTCTATACCTACTAAAGTTAATCATATGCCTACTGCATAGCCCAGGCAACACACCTTTATGTATATATCCAATAAAAATGAATGCATACATCCTTCAAGAGACATGTACAAAAAGTACCTAAGAGCATTATTCATAAGAGCCAAAAACTGGAAACAACCTAAATGCCCATTAACAGGAGAATGAACAAATAATTATTGGATCAGCATGCAACGGAATACTACACTGTGATAAAAATAATAAATTCTTGATAGGCTTCATTTTGAACAATAGAAGCCATATCCAACAGTATACATACTCTTGAGAGAGGAGGAGGTAAATTGATTGGAAAGGTACAAAATATACACTTCTTGATATCTGAAAATATTTTGTATCTTTACCTCAGAGGTAAACATATGTATATATGTATATGCTATCTATACATACGTACATATTTAATTTCATAGAGCAGCATATTTAAAATGAGAGTACTACAGATATCTTATGTCTCCTTTTTTAAAAAATTAAGGAAATTTGGAGTAGTAATATACACATATATGATAGGTTAATTTAAGAATCTACATTTATTAAGAAAAAAATTAACACCAAAGATATTACTTAGGTCTACTTAAAAATGTAACTATGAATTCCTTTTTCTGGCTTTTTCTTTTATTGCCTAGTTCTATCTCATCACTATTCACAGCCATTTCACTAAATCTCTCCAGTTTTATCTGGACATAGTCCTCATTTTCTTCTCCTAAAATACTCATGAAGCTGGATGCCTACAGAGGTAGCGTACAAAACCAAACAGCAATCAATTTAAAACTCACTTTCGTCCGTCTCTCATCTTAAAGTAGTATTAGTGCCTGTTGTGCTCTGACTCTCCCATCCAGACTCTCCTTGAGACTCATTTTGGCTTAATCCAACTTTTGATTTTCTCTGATTCTACTCATTTCTCTGTCTTCTCTATGTCAGTAAATGACAACTCTCTTCTTTAGTTTGATAAGAAAAAACGTGAAGCCAAACCTAAATTTATCTTTTTCTTTCACATTCCACATCTAATGAGTAAACAAATAAATCATAACACTAATAATAGTAAATCCTGCAACTCTACCTTCAAAATGAGCAGAATCTGATCCCCTCTTACCATGTCCATCTCTACCACCTGGTCTAAGCTTCCACTCTCTCTCACTTGGATGATTGCAGTAGCCAACTAACTAGTACACCCTAACTAGTTTCCATTATTGCCTTCTCTAGTTTGCTAGCAACACAGAATCCTGACTGATCTTTCTAAAATATAAGTCAAATCATGACTTTCCTCTGCTCACATACTTCCAAGTACTTTCCATCTCCTTCTTGGAGTAAAAGTCAAGCCCTTTCAAGACCTTGCATAGTCTGTGCCCTTCCTTGATACTTTCTGACCTAACCTCCTATTGTTTCCTTCTGGAGGCTTTTCGTGCTGCCTCCTCACAATTATTCCCTCGGCCAGATGCACTTTTTTCTCCAGGTATCTGCAGGTCTTCACTTCACAGCTTTCAAGTCTCTACTCAAATTTCACCTTATCAAAGAGGGTTTCCTTGTTCATACTATGTAAAAGATCAAATAGTCCCCTTTTCCCTAAACAATTTTATTCCTTCTCACCTTGATTTCTTTTTCTGTATAGCACTTATCACTCTCTGATGACTTGCATATTTATTAGTGATTATTTATTTCCTGTCTTCCCATTGGAATGAAGGCTCTTTGAAGGTATGGGGGCATTTTGACTAGTTTATTTCTATATCAAACTGGCATGTTATGCTCAATACATGTATTTGTTAACCAAATTGACTAAATGGACAAACCAAAAAGCCCATTAAGAAATCCCCCCAAGAGAACATTTTTCTCCATAAGAGAAACTCTGGACTAAATTGGGTAAAACTATAGTGTATTATAGTAATTGAAAAGTGTGGTTCCCACAGGCATATTCGCTGACTCATTTTCAGTAGTTGTGTAGCCTTGCAAAGTTACTTTATCCACCTGTGCCTCATAGTACTCATCCACAAAATGAGAGATTAATGTGTATAACCATGTTTTGAAATAGCCCACGTAACAGGCTTTACGTAGTGCTTGACATATAGCAAGTTTTAGGTAAATGTTCTTTATTGATATTTTTAGTAGTAATATTTATAAGTGGCCATGAAAAATGGTGAATGTCAATCAGAGGGAAAATCTAGAAAAGAAGATATGGTTTGTGCTGACAATATGTTAAGCATTATAGAGGACAAAGAAGAATAAGACACAAATTCTACCCTCAAGATTCTTGAAGTTAAGTATTAGAAGTAAAATTTAAAATATAATGAGAACTATATAACTTTTGCCAGAATAAAAAGGTTCTTAATTCAGTCAAGACAGCTTACTGCTACTTGTGAGCACATAAGATCTTATTGTCTTCATCATTATAAACTGTAAATAATCCATTTACCAAAACATATAAAATTATAGTGAAGAAATATCAGAATCCCAAACAAAATCACAAGTCAAAGTAGCAACAACACAAATCCAGGGTATGTGCTATTATTATTTAAAAATTATAAGGCCTTTACACATATAAGATAGAGTTTAGTCCCAGATATCTTTAATACCTATAGATTTTTATTTTTGTCTCTGTTGTAACCCAAACATGAAAATAAAATTCTACAAAAATTGAGGTGAATTCATTCCAATAAACTTATACAGAAAAATGTGTTATATGCAGGCAAGTCTATGACATGCATAGATTGATCCCAGACCTCAGCATGACTGAAGGACTGAAGTCTGGGTCTGTTAGGAGCAATGTAGTTGGAAAAATGACCTTCCATTCACCCGGTCTTTGTATTAGGAATTATGTCCAACTGGTCAGTGGCAGTCACATAACCAGTTTCTACATTGTAGACAGTAAGGACTGAAGGGTTTCAGATTCTCTTACATTAGAAGAGCTGAACATCTCAAAGAATCCAGAAGGGGACCTCATCTTGATCAGTAATTGAAGTTGTTCAGAGAGAGCTGAAGGTAAGGCATGTTTGTCCCTCAAATTTGAGTATAGTAGTGTTTCCTCTTTTGCGTAGCTACCTCCATGCAATTAAATTCTTAAGCTCTTTGCTTACAATTTATAAAGAATTTTCTGTCCTTTACCTGCGTCAGAGCAATCACCTGAACTCTCCTAATAGCCGTGTATGTGGATGTGGAAGTGAAAATGTGCACAAAGGCTCCAAATCCTAATAGGCACAGATGAGAAAAACATTTGACCACCCAACTGAGGGAGCTGATTGTGGATGCCAAATATCCTTGGTAAGAGATATTTGAGATAGAAAAGACTTTGATGCCGGACATGAGAAAAGAGTTAACTCAAAAAAGCACTTCCTCTACCCTCACCAAGGGATTAAGAGACTTAGATTAAGGGTGAACACAGAACAAAGGAGAAAAATTACACACACAGTTTTCCTTCACTCCCTTGTAGCCAAATGTCAGAAGTACCTGCTTAGACCAGCCATGATCAAATTGAAAACGTATTTAATTGGGACATGAAACTGATAATCCCATTGGAAAGGAAATGTAAAAACTTTTTCCACTTGGTGTATTCCCTGTAAATGTTTCTATTAAATGAGTCAAGTGATATTAAAACGGAGTTTCATCATTCCAGAATAGTATATGGTTTCCAGTAGTACCTAACTGAAATGGTCTTGAGATCATTCCATGGTCCATAACAGGCTTCTGTGGGTTTGGCCCTTAATTTAGGGGAAGATGATCTTCTTACCAATGGCAATTCTTGGAAAGAAAAGGACTGACAGGATGGCTGGAGCCTCTCTAAAGACTATAAATCCTAGAGAAGGAATAATATTTTTTTAAACTTCCTCCTAGATTGCCTTAAAGTTTTGTCTTAGGCCATCATTTTAGAAACTGAGAAAAGGAGACTATCACCCCACCTCTACCACCAACTTGCCATTAAAAGAATTTTATTAAAATTTTAGGAAAAGTTCTACCTAAAATGGGTCAAGTCAAATTGGTCTTGATGAAAACAAAGTGGCACATCCTGAATGTTAATGAAAAAAACAGAGAATTGCAGGGTACAAGGTTGGAGGTGGTCTTAAACTCAAACATGCAGAGAGAGCCCTGAATGAAAAATTAGACAGAGCCCTCACCCAAAGCACATTGCTGCTGAACACAAAGTATCCTGTCCTCTGCTCCCTAGGAAGTCAGTAGCCCTTCAGGGCAGTGACACTAAAATGCAACCAGTTAATTTAAATCGACAATCTTAATTTTAAAATTAAGATTGTAAAACAAGTTTTTTGAAACAAAAAGTTGACAGACTTGTAGGAAAATATTTAAAGTAATCTGTTACTTAAAAGCAAATTGTCTTCTGTGTATTAGGTATACACATATAGAAATGAAAAATGGGAAAAACTGTGTGGGATATGATGAAGTTTCTCCTCCAATAGCCTGAACGATCCTTTATTCTTTAATTCATAGTACTGCCCCTTTTTCCCTTTTTCTCCTCTTTCTTTCTTTCTACCTTTGTTACATGCCCAGATATGCAACAGTACCAGGCATTATCAGCACCAGCTCACATTCCTTTCCCTATTTGGAAAGAAGACTAGCTCTCTAGCTCCTTGCAGACACCCCTTCCCCTTTCCCCTCTCTCCTTTACCTGCCCACCTTATCTAAAGAAAGTTCAAATGTTTAGCCAACCGGGACTAGTTTACATTGTGTGGCCTGACCCCAGCCAATGGGGAAAGGGCACAGGGGCAGGACTTGTGCCAGGAATAAAGGCTTTCATACCCCTTTGTTCAGGTGTGCTCTCATGGCGACTGGCCAAGGAGAAGCACCCTTCTGTGCAGAAGTAAAATTGCTTTGCTAAGAATCTTTTGTTTGAGTGTTCAATTTCCTTAGGATTTTGAGTGTTATTTCCAACAATTCTGGCGCCCAGTGTGGGGCAAATATTCTCCTTTGGGAAGGAGGTCTTTGGTCACCTTACCTAAGAGGGATTCATCCCACTGTCTAGTTATGGTGGCCCGGGGGTGAGGGGGATCAGGGCCCACCCGTTGTGATGAATAAATCTGGGTTCTCAGCAAAGCAGGGAAGAGAGGCTTGCAAGACCATAGCAATAAGAAACCAGGTAATTCTTGTGCAGAGAATAAGGTAGGAGACTTCACAAAGACGACAAAGTATTTCCCTGGTGGTCGGGATAATTTGATGGTTGACAGTGTGTAAATGGGACTAAGCATTATGGTTGTGTGGAGTGAGTGAATCTTCTCTGCAGTTTCATGCTGCCACCCATCAACTAGGGGCAGGAACAGTCAGAGTAGACAAAAAAAAAAGAAGAGTGCAAGGAGCCTCCAGAGGGGTGAGCTATAGGATATGCAGGAAACCCCTAACGGGAGGGGCTGAGCCTCTAGAAAGAGGAGTGGGGTAAGATACCTCTAACACAAGAGGTTGAACCCCCTCTTAAAGCCTCAGTAAGCCTCCAGAAAGGGGAGGTAAGACACCTCTAACACAAGAGGTTGAACCCCCTCTTAAAGCCTCAGTGAGCCTCCAGAAAGAGAGGGGGTAAGATACCTCTAACACAAGAGGTTGAACCCCCTCTTAAAGCCTCAGTGAGCCTCTAGAAAGAGGGGTGTAGACACCTCTAACAGGAGAGGTTGAAGCCCCCCCTAACCCCTAAGATGAGGAACATTCAAGTAAGACAGGAAAACTTTAAAGAGTCAAGAGAGTGATGAAAGTCCCTCTGATAGTCCACTGGGGCCTATGCTAAAGTATTGGAAAGATAATGAGAGAACCAGGTATCAACAAAAACAGCAGATGATAAAATATTGTTGTTTTATTTGGGTTTGAGAATCCATCTTAAACCCTCACTTTTCTGGCCAAAATTTAGGTCTAATGAGGAGCAGATTTGTCAGCTCTTAATCGAGCGTGTTAATGATAAGAGCCCTGTCTCCAAGGAAGAAATCGATTATGCCCTCTGTTGGCAGCAGGGACCTGTCCTTCTTCACCCTTTAGACTCCAGGAGGAGAAAGCCAGAAGCCAACCCCTCTGGAAGGAAAGAGTCCCCATGTCTAGACAACCCATACCCACTAACACCTGGGACCCTCTAGATCATCTTTCCCTGTTCAGTGCCCCCAGTCGCACCCCTCCGGCTCCCATTTCCGTTTCAGGTCCCTCCCCTGCTTGCGTCACTCTTCTGGTTGTCCCTGATCCCACTCCTCCGGTTTCTGTCCCTCCAGCTGCAGTTTCAGTTTACTCCCCAGCCATTTCAGGCCACCCCCTCACCTGTGTCACTTGCCCTCCAATGCTTATCAAACTAAAAACTCCTGAGGAAATTGTAAGGAGAAAGCAATACCCCATTCCTTTAGAGAGCAGAGTAGGGCTAAAAGCCTGTAATTGAAGGTCTCATTAAAGATAGGCTTCTTGAACCCTGCATGTCTCCTTACAATACCCCAATTCTGCCTGTCACAAAATCAGATAGGTCATATCGATTAGTGCAAGACCTTAAAGCTATTAATCAAATAGTCCAGACCTCTCACCCCATTGTTCCTAACCCTTACACCATTCTTAGCAAAATTCTGTGGTTTACAGTGATAGATTTAAAGGATGCCTTCTGGGCATGCCCCTTGGCTGAGGATAGCCAAGATGTATTTGCTTTTGAGTAAGAAGTCCCCCATTCAGGGTGGAGACAACAATATCGATGAACAGTCTTGCCCCAAAGGTTCACAGAATCCCCCAAACTCTATGGTCAGATTCTAGAACAAGTACTAGAGAAAGTCACAGTCCCTAAGCAAATATTCCTGCTTCAGTACATGGATGATCTTCTTATATTTAGTAAAGATGTAAAGGAAGTAGGTGACTTCTCTACACACATTCTCAATCACTTGCAATGTGAGGGGTTTCAGGTCTCAAAAAGGAAACTTCAGTATGTAGAACCTGAAGTTAAATTCTTAGGTTACCTAATCAGTGCATGTAAATGAAGAATAGGACCTGAAAGAGTGGAGGGAATTGTTTCCCTACCCCTGCCTCAAATTAAACAAGAACTCAGGAAATTTTTAGGACTAGTTAGATATTGCCATTTATGGATTGACTCATATGCATTAAAAAGTAAACTTTTTTATGAGGAACTTGCCCAGTGGAAGCCTGATCGTCTCTTGTGGACTTCTGAGGATATCCAGCAAATTGAGGAATTAAAAGAGATGCTCGTAACTGCCCCTGTTCTAACTCTACCCTCCATAGAAAAGCCATTTCACCTTTTTGTTAATGTAAATAACAAGGTAACTCTAGGAGTGCTTATCCAGGAGCATGGAGGCCGTCAACAGCCATGGCCTTCTCGTCAAAGGTCTTAGACCCAGTCACTCTATCCTACTGAAGAAAGATGATTTAATATTAACTACTGATAATTCACTTAATCCAGCAGGCTTCTTAACAGAGGATCCAAACCTAAAAAAAAGAGCACGCATGCTTAGATTTGATTGATTACCATATAAAAGTTAGGAGACTTAGGAGAAACTCCCTTCAAGACAGGGCAGCACTTATTCATAGATAGGTCCTCCCAGCTAATTGAAAGGAAAAGACATAATAGTTTTTCAGAAATTGATGGAGAAACGCTTGAAGAAGTAGAATCAGGAAGACTGCCTAATAGTTGGTCTGTCCAGACATGTGAATTGTTTGCACTCAGCCAAGCTTTAGAACATTTATAAAACCAAGAAGGAATTATCTATACTGACTCTAGTATGCCTTTAAGGTGGCAAACACATTTAGGAAAATTTGGACGGAGAGAGGTCTTATCATTAGTAGAAGCCAAGATTTAGTTCATAGAGAATTAATTGTTCGTGTCCTCAACAATCTCCAATTGCCAGAAGAGATAGCGAATGTACATGTCCCAAGGCATCAAAAGGACTTGTCTTTCACAAGTAAAGAAAATAATCTCACAGATCAGATAGCAAAGCAAGTTTCCATTTCTTCCAAAATGCTTGTTTTTCATTTAACCCCATGCCTTCCTTCTCTTACCGCAACCCCCATTTTCTCTCCCATTGAAAAAGGGAAGTTAATAAGAATAGGAGCTAAAAAAAACACAGAAAGGAAATAGATATTACTAGATCAAAAGGAGATGTTGTCAAAACCTCTCATTAAGGAGGTCTTGTCTGAATTACATCAAAGGACCCACTGGGGACCCCAAGCAATGTGCGATGCAGTTCTCCAGGTTTACGGGTGTATAGGAATTTACACCCTGGCCAAACAAGTTACGGATAGTCACCTCATATGTAAAAAGGCTAATAAGCAGATTCTGAGGAAATCACCCTTTGGAGGAAGGAATCCAGGGATGAGACCATCTCAAAGTGTTCAGATTGTTTATACTGAAATGCCCCCAATTAGTCATTTAAAATACTTATTAGTAATAATAGACCACTTTACCACTAGGTAGAGGCTATCCCATTCTCAAGTGCAACTGCCAATAATGTAGTTAAGGCATTAATTGAAAATATCGTACCCAGATTTGGACTAATAGAAAATATTGATTCAGATAATAGAACCCATTTCACTGCAAATGTCATTAAGAAGTTAGCCTAAGTATTAGATATAAATTAGGAGTACCACATCCCTTGGCATCCATCCTCCTCAGGAAGAGTAGAGCAGATGAATCAGACTCTAAAAAACTACTTAACTAAGTTAGTTGTAGAAACTTGATTGCCATGGACTAAATGTCTTCCCTTTTGCTTTGTTAAGAATCTGGACTGCCCCTCGGAGAGACATTGGCCTTTCCCCTTATGATATGCTCTACAGATTGCCCTACTTATATTCCACTGCTGACATCCCTACATTTTAAACAAAAGATCAGTTCCTCAAAAATTATGTACTTCGTCTATCCTCTACCTCCTCTTCCTTAAGACTAAAGGTCTCCTAGCACAGGCACCACCCCTGGAGTTTCCAGCACATTAGCATCAGCCTGGAGACCATGTCCTCCTCATCAAACGGTGAAAGGAAAGGAAACCCGAACCAGATTGGGAAGGACCCTACCTAGTGCTCCTAACTACTGAGACTGCAGTCCAGACAGCTGAAAGAGGACGGATTCATCACACCCGAGTCAAAAAGATGCCGCCACCTCCAGAATCATAGACTGTCACTGCAAGGCTCACCCCCACCAAACTAACTCTAAAAAGAGCCTAATAATCACTGTTTATTTTCTTTTTTCTTCTCAACAGAAGTTCTTCTTGTCGTCAATGTAGTTCAGGCCAGCCATCATTTAACCCTTCAGTTCAATGCCTGTCCAGTCATCCCGTGTGGAGATGAGCAAGCTTAAAGGAAGCTATCCCATGTTGATAACTATCTATGTCCATACCACAAAGAGTCAACTAAGTATGGAGCTTTAAAAAGTTCCTGTAGTGACTATGCAGATGTTTGGTGGACCACTAAGTACAAAGGGTGGGCAGCTAGGCCCCCTGTTTCAAATAAGTTACAAGGACTAAAACAAAAACTCCAACTAGTCCGTGGTCCCACCCCACCAAATTGTAAGCCATTGCACTGTAACCCCTTATTGCTGATTATAGATAATCCCAGACAATGGCCCAAGAGCCCTCTATATTTGAACGGTATAGGTTAGGAGCAGACGTTGCCAGACAATACCCTATAGGCACCTTCTCTCTAAAGTTAGTTAAACCACTAGTTAATAATAAAGAAATTCAGACCCAGAGTCTGAGAGACACATGGAACCCAACGCTCTCCCCAAGTATAGTGAGTCCAAAGTCCTCCTCCCATCTACAAAATGACCCAACCAAGGTAATGGTTGTGGAGGTAGAAAACTGAAGGCAAACCATAGCTGTAAAGACAGGATATCAAGATGCAAATGTTTGGCTGGAATAGATTAAATATTCCGTCTGCACTTTAAACAAAAGTGAATGCTACGTTTGTGCGCACAGTAGACCAGAGACCCAGACTGTCCCCTTTCCACTTGGATGGTCTTCCAGCCGACCAGGCATGAACCATATGGTAGCTCTCTTCCAAAACCCCTCAGCCTGAGGGAACAAATCATGCCAAGCTCTTTTTCTGCTGTTCCCTGAAGTTCAACACCCTGCAGGTCAGCCCCCGAGGGCCATCCAGCGTCCATCTCCCAATGCCAATTTACTTCGTGTCTCTCATGACAAGGAGAACTTGGCGTTCCTAGGACTTAACGGGATGCACTGAGCTTAGGCCCTTCCAAGCGCTTACCCATCAGTCTGCCCTTAGCCATCCTCGAGTGGATGTGTGGTGATATTGTGGTGGACCAATACTGGACACTCTGCCAAGTAACTGGAGCGGAATTTGTGCTCTGATTCAATTGGCCATCCCTTTCACCCTGGCATTTCACCAACCAGAAAGGATAAGAATCAAACATCGTCAAACAAGAGAGGCCTTCGTTGAGTCCTTTGATTCTCATGTTTATATAAATGCCATTGAAGTCCCACAAGGAGTGCCAAATGAATTTAAGGCTCAAAGTTGAATAACTGCCGGATTTGAATCCACATTCTTCTAGTGGTTAACTATAAATAAAAATGTGAATTAGATAAATTACATTTATTACAATCGGCAACAATGTATTAATTATACTAGAGTTGCTATTAAAAGGATAGGTAAACAATTAGGGCCTACCATTCAAATGGCCTAGGAAAATACCATAGCATTAGACATGATATTAGCAAAGGAAGGTAGAGTTTGTGTCATGATCAGGACCCAATGCTGTACCTATATCCCTAATAATACTGCTCCCGGCAGGACCATAACTAAAGCATTACAAGGTCTTACCGCCTTATCAAATGAGCTATCCAAAAATTCTGGACTAAACGATCCCTTCACAAATTTAATAGGAAATTGGTTCGGTAGATGGAAAAGACTTATGTCCTCAATCCTCATCTCTCTTGCCATGGGAATAAGGCTGCTTATTCTCGTAGGATGTTGCATCATACCCTGTGCCCAAGGACTAATACAAAAGCTCATTGAAACAGCTCTCACTAAAACCTCTTACCACCCTCCTTCCCCTTATCCAAATGAGCTTTTCCTGCTAGAAGACCAAGTAGAACAACGGAGCCAAATTATGCTAAAAAGGTTTGAAGAGAAAGAGCTATAAAAACAAAGAAGAAGGAGAAAGCTGTGAGATATGATAAGGTTTCTCTTCAAATAGCTGGATCAATCCTTTATTCTTTAATTCATAGTACCCCACTTTTTCTCTTTTTCTTCTCTTTGTTTCTTTCTACCTTTGTTACATGCCTAGACATGCCACAATACCAGGTGTTATCAGCACCAGCTCACATTCCTTTCCTTATTTGGAAAGAAGACGCTCTCTAGCTCCTTGCAAACATGGCTTCTCCTTTCTCCTCTCTCCTTTATGTGCCCACCTTATCTAAAGAAAGTTCAAATGTTTAGCCAACTGGGACTAGTTTAGATTGTGCAGCCTGACCCAATGGGGAAAGAGCACAGGGACAGGACTTGCATCAGGAATAAAGGTTCTTGTACCCCTTTGTACAGGTGTGCTCTCATGGCAACTGGCCAAGGAGAAGCACCCCTCTGCACAGAAGTAAAATTGCTTTGCTAAAATCCTTTGTTTGAGTGTCCAATTTCCTTAGGATTTTGAGTGTTATTTCCAACAACTGAAATTCTCTAATCAAATGAGGTAGGCAAAAGTTTTGTTGCCATTGCTGTTAGCTGTTAAATAAGAAAAGCAAAATAACTCACTGCAACATTAGGATAAAAATTGAATGAACAGGCCACTAAAAGATAAAGGGATATTTTCATAAAATCATTTTCCCACATTCAATCCCTACTGGATATTGATCAAAACACACCACTGACCATTAGTTTCCTAAAGATGCAATATTCCTGGATTCATTCACTAATTCTATTAAGATATACAAAAGAGGGGTGCAATTAAAATAACATAAAATATAATTCTATATTCAGGATGTGTAGGCACCAATACATTAAAGTATGTATTAGTCTGTGGGAATGCATTTTTGAAATAAAGCAGCAGGTTTTCTTTTCAGTAGATGCCTCTATCTACTGCTGAGTATATGATTTGAATCATCTTTCTCTATTTCTAACTGTGCAGATGTTGCAGAGTTACGCTGATTATCTTCCCTTCGAACTGGAATCTGAGCCACTTCATTGGCAAACCCTGTCATTCACAATAGTCTTTCATTTGTTACTAAGTGGTATGTGCCATCCAATCTTACATTTCACTAGAGAATCATGTAGCCCAGCCACCTTGTAATGTGCCCAGCCAATCCCTGTTTGTCAATCTTAGCTGTGACATTACTGAGGTTAAATATAATTTTTATTCATCCCTTTTGCTATGATTGCTACCATTTATTTTACCTAAAGAGGATATTCTAAACCTTTGCCACATTCCTCAACCATTTAATTCACCTTACCCTTTTCATTTTCTCAACATATTGTTTCAGCTTGTTCTTTCTTCTCTACCAGTTAACAGTATCACCATTAACCAGGTACCCACGCTAGACACTTCAGAATTTTCTTCAACTTCTCCAATTTCTCACTCCCTAACAATCACTCAAGTAGTATACACTCTACATCAAATCCTCATTGCTCTAATTCAATTCTTCAACAACCTTTTCTTGACATCTAACTTGTCCTCATAGCTCTAGTCTCTGTTTTTCCATCATCTTCCATTTTGCTTCCTTGAATTTTTTTCTAATCATGGATTATATAAAGACTTTTATTTACATAATACATGTAAGATTTAAAAGCCTCTTACTTCACCTTAGACTTCTCAACCTGTGAAATTCAACAGTCCAAATGTGAGTACAAATGATCACCAGGGCCAGATTCTAGTCTCCAAGGTAGACAGTAAGGCTGTTGTGAGGGAGGGGAATGGAGTTGAAATCATTATATCACATCTAGCTCCAAAATATTCATCTTAAATATAGTAGAAAGCATAGAGGAACTAAATATAATAAAGTTTATGAGGCTGAACCCCAAGTTGGGTTGGCTATAGGTCTAAAATTTATCCTACTATCAATCAACTCTACCAGGTTTTTATAAATATATTTTAGAGGAATTTTATGTTCAAATATGTATCGCCCAGTTTTCCCAGTTTTAATACTTCATCATAATCTTTGCTAGCATTTGTGTTTGTGTATGCAAAGATTATCTCTATGGGGTCAAATAATTAATAAATAAAACAAAATATCATCATGATATTTTTATTATGAATCAAGAATCTCAGAGTAATTAAAAAAAAATTCTGACCCTGATACTTCGGATTTAACCCAGCTTTGAACACCCAAAACATACCTTTTACAATCTGATCCTTTTAAGCTATTTTCTTATTCTTTTCCTCTTTTTATAAAGAATATTATTATTTATATTAAATTTATAAAATATACTTAAATTCATAAAAATTTAAAAATTGGACTTCTTACCATTTCTCAAACACTTCATAGAAATTTTCCATCTCTATTTGCTTATACTATTCTTTCTTCTTAGAATCTATGTTTACCCCAGCTGTGACTGACTAACATAATCTTACTTAACTACTAGAGCTTGCTATAATGTGGAACCTTTGCTGACAGGCTAGACATAATTAATTTCCCCATTCTAGGGCTACTAGGATATTTTGGTCATCCAGTAGTATGACATTTAGATTTAGACTGCAGACTCTATTAAACACAATGACTAGAGACTGTCCTTGAAATATTTTGAACCTGAAACAAACACTTCCTAGGTCTAGGGAGCCTCCTAAGTATTGGGAATTGGTACACATTACAATCCATGTTCTCTAAGATCAACCAGTATGCTAGGGTGAGCAACTATTTAAACAAGAGACTGCTGAAGTCCCCTGCCATGCTTTGAGAGCAAAAAAGAAGTAATGTCTGAAACTAAAAAAGACAAAGGAGTGAATACACTGATTCATCTGGGATAAAGCACATCATTTTGAAATAAAACCAAAAGGAAAAACATATATTTGCATACATAGCATATAACACATACTGTAATGTGTAATGTGTAATGTGTAAAATGTAACATATAATTTATAATATATAATTAAAACTATATTTACATATAATTATATATAACCTTATAAATATGTAATAAAACTCATCATATACAAATATAAGCTTAAATTGTGAAAATCCTTAAATTTTTAAAATTGTTGTTTTAATAAACCACATTTTATCATTGAAGCTTCTGAAACTCAACTGCTCAGGATCAGCAATGTGCCCAACATCAAATGTTTAATGATTGGTAGAGCCAGCACTGAAATCAGACCTTCTGACACTGAATTTTTAATGTTTCCTTCATCACACTACACTATCGCCAATGCAAAATATATGCCCATGAATCAGGCAATAAAACCGAAGAGATGTGGATCTATTTTCAAGAGTAGTCGAAGTATGATAGGCAGTTGTGGCAATTCAGTGCAAAGCCAGAAACAGCTTGGGCATTACATGACACCATGATTAAAGCACATGACTGATCCCTGACTAGGGAAATGTGCAAGGCTGAGATAATTGGTTTTCCCAGTTCTTCATCCACAACCAAGTAAAATTTACCAGTGGGCACTAAGCAGTAAAGAGATAGATCCTTTTCAGAAGGAGAAGCCGTTACTGAAGAATAGCTTATAATATAATGGAGGTTACCTCTAATATACAGAACACTAGAGTTCTGAAGTAAAAAATGATTTAGCTTGACACTTATGCTGAAAACTTGTTAAAAAAAAGAGGCTTGGAAGGCAACGACTGTTGGATAAAAATATATACACTTTTTCTGCTTCTTAGAAAAATCAGATATTATTGTAACATAAAACATAAATAAAATTTAAAACAGCACAAAAGCTGAAATTGTTCTGCAAAATATGGCTGATTTCAATCTTATTAGAGTTAGAATGGTTTTGCATCTATGCAAAATTTGACTAAGAAAAGATAAGATAAAAATTTCAGAGTGATTTTAAAAACAACAATATTCTGACACTTGTCACAATAATCATAACACATGTATGCAACTAATTTGTAAACTAAAATAATGAAAATAAGAGAATAAAGGCAAGATTACAACAATAAACTTCCAATTTAGGGAGCATTAATTGTACAGGAATAAATATAACAAAATATATAAATTAGGTGAAAAAATAGAAGGGAATAATTTTGGTGAATGTCAAATCTGCTGGAGTATTTCCAGACTATAAAAGCAGAAATGTCATACAAGTTTGGGGATACTTGTTTAGGTATTCTAAAATAAAGAGCTTGATCCCTACTTGGCTAGAAACAAACTAAAAATAAAGAATTCTGATAATTACTTTATCGACCTTTTTTTGTAAGGAAAATGGCATTATTCTATTTATCTGCATAGCAGCTCTAAATATTTTTAACCTATGAGAAATAATTTTAGCGTATAAGAAATAATTCAAGGTATATACCTCCTGGCTGAAAAGCATGGTCTTTAACTTCTGGAAGTCATATAATACCTCTGTTGAAGAAAACTCTGGGAGTTTTCAAGTTATGCATTTGGGAAATCTACTCCCTGCTCCAGGTAGACAATAGAGCAAGCCTCTGCTGCATCTTGAAATGAGCCCTGTGCTACCTCTTGGCCCTAGAATAGAATTTCTCTGTTCTCGAAAACCAAACACCACATGTTCTCACTTATAAGCGAGAAATGAACAATGAGAACACATGTACACATGGTGGGAAAAAACACACACTGGGGTCTGTCAAGGGGTTGGGGAAAGGAAGAGCATCAGGAAGAATAGCTAATGGATGCTGGGCTTAATAGCTAGGTGATGGGTTGATGTATGCAGCAAACCACCATGGCACACGTTTACCTATGTAACAAACCTGCACATCCTGCACATGTATCCTGGAACTTAAAATAAAAGTTGAAGGAAAAAAAAAAAGAATTGCCCTGTTCTGCAATAGGCTTCTAAGAACTATTCGTATTCAGTTTTATAAAGAAGAGACAGAATATGAAAGATAATGAGTCTAAGCATATACATTTATATATTTTAATATTTTACATGTCATGTACATTATGGCTAAATAAACTTATCTGCCCTCTCACACTTGTCACTTCTTGGCATACTCCATTCATTTTTGTGGCATAAAACATGTAGACAGCAACTCACTTACTACATAGCTATTTCGTTAAGGCACATTGCCAGCTGCAGGAGACAAACAATTATCAGGGTCAGTCACAGAGTAGATGGAGATAACAAGTACATTGAGACCCAAGAGGAAGTTGGCTAATTAAACTGGTATCTAACAAGCCATCTTCTATAAAAATCAAGACTTCCTGTTACCATACCAAATTGGTCCAAAAGTGTGTACTTTCTATGATAGACTTCTTTACTGAATTCAGTGCTTCCCTTAAATTACCTCTTGGATGGTTATTAGCACAACTTTGGAGCATCACATGGCAAAGGCAGAATAATGTAGTGGTTGGTTAAGAGGAGAAACTCTAGGGTAAAAATATCTTGCTTCAAAGCAGGACTCAAGCAGTCCAGTTTCTAACTAAAATATTGGTCAATACCTCTAACTCTGTTTCTTCTTTTTTTCATTTTAGTTTGTTTCCATCTCTGAGATAGGGAAAATAATATCTGTCTCCTAGGGTTAGTTTAACAATGCCTTTTTTTAAATCCATACAGAATGTTTAGCATCTTGCCTAAAATAAATGTTTAATAATTTGTTCTTTTTATTACTCTTGTTCACAAAAAGACTCTAGCTCTCAAGATATATTTGACCTAAAATCCATCATCATCACCAAATAGTAACTGAATGTCTATCATATGATAAGCACGCTATCAGCCTCCAGGTTTTATCAGACACTTCCACAACAAAGAAAAATCTGAATTTGGAAGGGATCAAAGTGGCTGACTAGACACAAGTGGTGTGTGTCTCCTCCACAGAGAAGAGCTAGAATAGTAAGTAGAAACATTCAGAACAGATCATCTAGGAGAGAATGCCTTGAATTCATCAAAGAGAAGGGAAGTACCAGAAGTAACTAAGTAGAGGATTCAAGGCATCTTGCCCAGGTGGGGACTGAATAGGAGCCAGGAGAGGCTCCTAGATGGGGGAAAACAATAAGAGAGAAATCCCTAAAGCTCTAAAACAGGCTTTAATGATCTAGGTCATGGGAGAAACCCTCTATCCACTGGATCCTCATCCCTGTTGTACAGAGCTGCCTGAAGTTTGCACAGAGCTGTTGCTCCAGAAAGGGAACCCACACAAAATCTCACAGGCATCCAAGCCTGGAGCAGCCTCAGCTGGGAGCCATTTTGAGAGCCCAGATACTGGGTACCTACACATAGGGCTACAACCACTGCACTGCTCCAAGGAGGGAGAGGGAGGGAGGGAGGCACACCCCCGGGAGGGTAATTGCTACCTTCTTACAAGCTGCCGTTCAGGCTGAGATACAAGTGGCCTGCACTCCTTACAGTTTCTTGCTCACACTTCTTGCCTAGATGATTCCCCACACCCTCTGGTTCCAGTCCTAAGGCATCATTTCAAGAGTTTAACAATGGAATGCACCCCACCTTCAGCCTGAGCTTAGACTGATGTGCTGCAGCCACTGCCCAGCCAAAAAAGGGTCGGGGAAACCAGGCCATCATACACATATTTAACATAAGCAATACCCACTGATTTGCAACAGACTGCTGTGAGACTGAGATGCCAGTGAACTGCACTCTCTACAGCTTCTTGTCCGTGCTGCTTGCCTGGGCAGTGCTCCACCCTCCCTGGATGCAGGCCCAAGGCATCATTTTGAGAGTACAATGCCAGGCTGTGCCCCACCCTCAGCCTGAATTTGGGCTGACACAGCTGTAGCCCCCACCTAGCCAGAGGGACAGGGAATCCAGGGCCTTCTATGCATACCCAGGACAATACCCAATGCCCTATTATGGGCTGCAGTGAGACCAAGACTTGAGTAGACCATACTCCCGACAGCTTCTTGCCCATGATACTATGTCAACCTGATAGAAGCCCTGCCCTCTCTGGTCACAAGCCCACAGTTGGCACCATTTTGAGAGTTTAGAGACACTGTCTGGCAACGTGGCAGTGGTAGCCACAGCAGGCACTTTGTTCTCAAGCCAGAGACTGAAGCACTTGCTCTGGAATGGAAGAAGAGCACCCACAGCCAGAATTGAGTGGTAAATGTGGAGAGTGTCCCAGCAGTAGGTGTCAGAATTAGGCTCTCTCCCACCACAAGACCAGAGCAGGAGGAAAGTAGCTGAGGCTGAGGTGTCTCCTGAGGGGCAAGAGTCGCAGCCAGGGATAACTTTGCAACCTGGAACCACTCTGGTTATGCCACTGCTGAGTGCCTCAGCCTGCTCCCTTGGTCAGTTGCAGGAGAGTGCCCCATCAGCCCTGATGAGTGGAAGGGAGGCGAACCCACTCCCCTGGAGATCTAACACTCAGTACAGTCAGCCCCTAAGGGAGAGGAAAGCATAACCCATCAAAGCCCACTTTGAGTCAAAGGAAACATGAACATATCTCCAGCCACTGAAGGCAGCAGCACCAAACCCTGGGAATAGACATAGAGAGGGTTAGCTCTTGCCCCCCACCCCAACCTTAGTACACTGTCATAGACTTAGCAGTGACTCTTCTTGTCGGGCCCAGAGAGGATGGGCCCACAACTGAGGCTTCTCCAGCTGTTCCATCCCAATTGAAGGCAAATGAATGCTGCAGTAGAGTGGTTTCTGCAATACTCTATTGCCTCTGCCCATGGTCCTACCTGCTAGCTCTTACTTATAAGCCACACCTACTGGACTGAAGCCTGAATGATATTGCCAAACAAAATTACATCACCACAACAAGCAACATCTGAGAGAGCCACTGTACAAAACTATTTGCAATCAAGTAGCCTTGGCACCTTAAAAGCACCCAGAATCTAAGCCACTTAATTGTACACAATATACATTGCAGTCATACCCCCAAAGGAAAAAAGAATAAAAACATCAAGAAGCCGCATCTAAACAATAACAAATTCAAAGAAGAAGACAAGAAGAAGAACAACAACAACAACAGCTACAGATGTCAGCTGTCTCAGATGAAAAGGAACCAGCACAAGAACTCCAGCAATACAAAAAGCCAGAGTGACTCATCACCTGCAAAGGATCCCACTAGCTCCCAAGCAATGAATCCTAACAAGAATGAAATATCTGAAAGGACAGTTGTAGAATTCAGAATATGGATTCAAAAGTAACTCAATGAGATCCAAGAGGAAGCTGAAATCCAACACAAGCCAGAAAAACAATCCAAGATTTGAAAGAAGACATATATTGAGAAAGAACCTAACAGAACTTTAAGAATGGAAATGGTCTAATTCTGTGAAGAAAGTCAATGGTAGCTTGAGGAGAATAGCATTGAATCTATAAATTACTTTGGGCAGTATGGCCATTTTCACGATATTATTAACACGAAATGTTAACATAGAATTCTTCCTATCCATGAGCATGAAATGTTTTTCCATTTGTTCATGTCCTCTCTTATTTCCCTGAGCAGTGGTTGGTAGTTCTTGTTGAAGAGGTCCTTCACATCCCTTGTAAGTTGGATTCCTAGGTATTTTATTCTCTTTATAGCAATTGTGAATGGAAGTTCACTCATGATTTGACTCTTTGTTTATTATTGGTGTACAGGAATGCTTGTGATTTTTGCACATTGATTTTGTATCCTGAAACTTTGCTGAAGCTGCTTATCAGCTTAAGGAGATTTGGGGCTGAGATGATGGGGTTTTCTAAATATACAATCATGTCATCTGCAAACAGAGACAATTTGACTTCCTCTCTTCCTATTTGAATGCCCTTTATTTCTTTCTCTTGCCTGATTGCCCTGGCCAGAACTTCTAATACTATGTTGAATAGGAGTGGTGAGAGAGGGCATCCTTGTCTTGTGCCGGTTTTCAAAGGGAATGCTTCCAGCTTTTGCCCATTCAGTATGATATTGGCTGTGGGTTTGTCATAAACAGCTCTTACTATTTTGAGATATGTTCCATCATTACCTAGTTTATTGAGAGTTTTTAGCATGAAGGGCTGTTGAATTTTGTCGAAGGCCTTTTCTGCATCTATTGAGATAATCATGTGGTTTTTGTTGTTGGTTCTGTTTATGTGATGGATTACGTTTTTTGATTTGCGTATGTTGAACCAGCCTTGCATCGCAGGGATGAAGCTGACTTCATCATGGGGATAAACTTTCTGATGTGCGGCTGGATTCAGTCTGCCAGTATTTTATTCAGGATTTTCACATTGATTTTCATCAGGGATATTGGCCTGAAATGTTCCTTTTTTGTTGTGTCTCTGCCAGGTTTTGGTATCAGGATGATGCTGGCCTCATAAAACGAGTTAGGAAGAATTCCCTCTTTTTCTATTGTTTGGAATAGTTTCCGAAGGAATAGTACCAGCTCCTCTTTTTACCTCTCGTAGAATTTGGCTATGAATCTGTCTGGTTCTGGGCTTTTTATGGTTGGTAGGCTATTAACTACTGCCTAAATTTCAGAACTTGTTATTGGTCTATTCAGGGATTCAAATTATTTATGGTTTAGACTTGGGAGGGTGTATGTGTCCAGGAATTTATCCATTTCATCTAGATTTTCTAGTTTATTTGCGTAGAGGTGTTTATAGTATTCTCTGATGGTAGTTTGTATTTCTGTGGGATCAGTGGTGATATCCCCTTTATCATTTTTTATTGTGTCTATTTGATTCTTCTATCTTTTCTTCTTTATTAGTCTGGCTAGAGGTCTATTGTGTTAATCTTTCCAAAAAATCAGCTCCTGGATTCATTGAGTTTTTGAAGGGTTTTTCATGTCTCTATCTCCTTCAGTTCTGCTCTGATCTTAGTTACTTCTTGTCTTCTGCTAGCTTTTGAATTTGTTTCCTCTTGCTTCTCTTTTAATTGTGATGTTAGCATGTCTATTTTAGATCTTTCCCACTTTCTCCTGTGGGCATTTAGCGCTATAAATTTTCCTATAAACACTGCTTTTTTTTTTTTTTTTTTCTAAACCATGCAGGACATAGGCATGGGCAAAGACTTCATAACTAAAACACCAAAAGCAAAGGCAACAAAAGCCAAAATTGACAAATGGGATCTAATTAAACTAAAGAGCTTGTGCACAGCAAAAGAAACTATCATCAGAGTGAATAGACAACCTACAGAATGGGAGATAATTTTTGCATTCTATCCATCTGACAAAGGGCTAATATCCAGAATCTACAAGAAACTTAAACAAATTTACAAGAAAAAAACAACCCCATCAAAAAGTGAATGAAGGATATGAACAGACACTTCTCGAAATAAGACATTTATGCAGCCAATAAACATATGAAAAAAAGCTCATCATCACTGGTCATTACAGAAATGCAAATCAAAATTACAATGAGATACCATCTCATTGTGCCAGTTAGAATGGCAATCATTAAAAAGTCAGGAAACTGGTCTGGGCACGGTGGCTCATGCCTGTAATCCCAGAACTTTGGGAGGCCGAGGCGGGCGGATCATGAGGTCAGGAGATCAAGACCATCCTGGCTAACACGGTGAAACCTCGTCTCTACTAAAAATGCAAAAAAAATTAGCTGGGTGTGGTGGCGGGCCCCTGTAGTCCCAGCTACTCGGAAGGCTGAGGCAGGAGAATGGCATGAACCTGGGAAGCGGAGCTTGCTGTGAGCCGAGATCGTGCTACTGCACTTCAGCCTGGGTGACAGAGCGAGACTCCATCTCAAATAAATAAATAAATAAATAAATAAATAAATAAATAAATAGTCAGGAAACAGCAGATGCTGGAGAGGATGTGGAGAAATAGGAATGCTTTTATACTGTTGGTGGGAGTGTAATTAGTTCAACCATTGTGGAAGACAGTGTGGTGATTCCTCAAGGATCTAGAACCAGAAATACAATTTGACCCAGCAATCTCATTACTGGGTATATACCCAAAGGATTATAAATCATTCTACTGGAAGACACATGCACATGTATATTTATTGCAGCCCTATTCACAAAAGCAGACTTGGAACCAACCCAAATGCCCATCAGTAATAGACTGGATAAAGAAAATGTGGCACATATACACCATGGAATACTATCCAGCCATAAAAATGGATGAGTTCATGTCCTTTGCAGGACACAGATAAAGCTGGAAACTATCATTCTCAGCAAACTAACACAGGAACAGAAAACCAAACACTGCATGTTCTCACTCAAAAGAGGGAGTTGAACAATGAGAACACATGGACACAGGGAGGGGAACATCACACACCAGGTTCTGTTGAGGGGTGGGAGGCTAAGGGAGGGATAGCATTAGGAGAAGTATCTAATGTAGATGACGGGTTGACGGGTGCAGCAAGCCACCATGGCACATTTATACCTATGTAACAAATCTGCACATTCTGCACATGTATCCCAGAACTTAAAGTATAATAATAAATAAATAAATAATAAAATAAAATAAAGAATTGAAACACCCACTGCAGACATTTCAAAATACAGTTGAAAGCATTAATAACACACTAGACCAAGCAGAATAAAGAATCTCAGAGCTCAAAGAAACAGTCCTTTGAATCAACCCAGACAGACAAAAATACAGAAAAAAGTATTTTATAAATGAACAGACTTCTAGAATATCAGATTATGTAAAGCCACCAAATCTGTGACTTATTGGAATTGCCAAGAAAGAAGAGAAAGTAAGCAACTTGGAAAACATATTTGAGGATATAATTCTGGAACATTTCCCCAAACTTGCTAGAGAAGTCAATATACAGATACAAGAAATCCAGAAAACTCATGGGAGATACTATGCAAGAAGACGATCCCCAGGGCAGATAATCATCAGACTATCCAAGGTCAACGCAAAAGGGAAAAATCTTAAAGGCAACTAGAGAAAAGGGTAATATTATCTACAAAGGGAAACCCATTAGACAAACAACAGACTTCTCAGCAGAAACCTTAGAAGGTAGAAGAGTCTGGGACCCATTTGCAGCATCACTGATGAAAAGAAATGCCGGCCAATAATTTCATATCCCACCAATCTAAACTTCATAAATGAAGGAGAAATAAAGTCTTTCGCAGACAAACAATTGCTGAAGAAATTCATCGTCACTAGACCAGTCCTACAAGAGAGGCTTAAGAGAATTCTAAACACCGAAATAAAAGAATGATACTTGCTACCACAAAAGCACATGCAAGCACATAGCCCACTGACCTTATAAAGAAACTACATAATTGAGACTACAGAGCAACTACCTAACAACATTATGACAGCAATAAAACCTCACATACCAATTTTAACCTTGAATGTAAATGGTCTAAATGCTCCACTAAGAAGAAATAGAGTGGCAAATTGGATAAAGAAAACAAGATCATTCCTTTTGCTGTCTTCAAGAGACACATCTAACACATAATGACACCCATAGGCTCAAAGTAAAGGGATGGAGAAAGATATGTCATGCAAAGGGAAAACAAAAAACAGCAGGGATGGCTATTCTTATATCAGGTAAAACATACTTTAAACCAACAACAGTAAAAAAGGGACAAATGGACATTACATAATGATGAAGGATTTCATTCAAAAAAAGATTTAACTATCCTAAATATTATGCTGGTGCAAAAGTAACTGTGGTTTTTGTCATTCCTTTAAAATGCATTGTTTAAAATACTGGGTACCTAGATATAGGGCTGCAGCCACTGCACTGCTCCAAGGAGGGAGAGGAAGGGAGAAAGGCACACTCCCAGGAGGGTAATTGCTGCCCTCTTGCAAGCTGCTATTGAGGCTGAGATGCAAGTGGCCTGCACTCCTCACAGTTTTCTGCTCATGCTGCTTGCCTAGGTGATGCCCCACCCTCTCTGGTCCCAGTCCCAAGGCATCATTTCAAGAGTTTAACACTGGAATGCAACTCACCTTCAGCCTGAGGTTGGACTGATGTGTTGCAGCCACTACTCAGCCAAAAAAGGGACAAGGAAACCACAAAGGGAAACATTGGAGCATCCAGATTTATGAAACAATTACTTCTAGATCTAAAATAAGACTTTGACAGCCACACAATAATAGTGTAGGACTTCAACATCCCACTGACAGCTTTAAATAGATCATCAAAGCAGAAAACTAAAAAATAAATTCTGGGCTTAAATTCAACATTCTACCAATCAGACCTAATCACATCTACAGAATACTTTATCCAACAACCACAGAATATACATTTTTCTCATATGCATGTGGCATGTACTTTAAGATTGACCATATGCTCAGTCATAAAGCAAGTCTCGATAAATTCATAATAATCAAAATCATACCAAGCATCTTCTCAAACTGCAATGAGGAACTCACAATACCAAACAAACATACAGAAACTAAACAACTTGCTTCTGAATGGCTTTTGTTGGGTAAATAACGAAATTAAGACAGAAATAAAAAAATTCTTTGAAACATATGGAAATGGAGATACAACATAGCAAAACCTGTGGGATATAGAAAAGAAGTGTTAAGAGGAAAGTTTACAGCACTAAACACCTAAATCAAGAAGACAGAAAGATCTCAAACTAACAACCTAACCTTACATCTGAAAGAACTAGAAAAAACAAACAACCCAAAGCTAGCAGGATAAAAGAAATAAGTAAAATCAGACCAGAGCTAAATAAAATTAAGACCTCCAAAAAACACATAAAGGAACAGAAAAATAAAAAGTTACTTTTTTGAAAGGATAAACGTGATTGATAAACCACTAGTTAGATTAGCAAAGGAAAAAAAGAGAAGATCCAAATGAGTACAAACAGAAAGGACAAAGGTGACATCACAACTGATCCCACAGAAGCACAAAAGTTCCTCAGAGACATCTCTATGCACACAAACTAGAAAATCTCAAGGAAATCAATACATTCCTGGAAACATACAACCTTCCAAGACTGAACCAAGAAGAAACAGAAATCCTGAACAAACCAATAATAAATAATAAAATTGAATCAGTAATTAAAAACCTACCAATCAAAAGAGCCTAGGACCAGATAGATTCATGGCTGAATTCTAGTAGACTTACAAAGCTGGTACCAATCCCACTGGAACGACTCCAAAAAATCAAGGAGGAGAAACTGTTTCCTAACTCATTCTCCAAAACCAGTATGATCCTCTTAACAAAATCTGGCAAAGACATACACCAAAAAAGTTAACTACAAGTCAATATCCCTGATAAATACAGACACAAAATCCTCAATAAAATACTAGCAAACTGAATCCAGTAGTTCATCAAAAATTTGATTCACCGCAATCACATGGGCTTTCTTTTGGGATGCAAGGATGGTTCAACTTACACATCAATAAATGTTATTCACTACATAAACCGAATTAGAAACAAAAACCATAGGATTGTCTCAATAGATGCAGAAAATGTGTTTGATAATATTCAATATCTCTTCATGATAAAAACTCTCAACAAGTTAGGCATCAAAGAAATATACCTCAAAATAAGGAATCATCTATGACAAAACCATAGCCATCATCAAATAATATATGGAATGGAAGTTGAAAACATTCCCCTGAAGAACTGGAACAATACAAGGATGTCCACTGTCACCACTCTCATCAGTCCTATGCAACATAGTACTGGAAGTCCTAGCACTGGAACAATACAAGGATGTCCACTGTCACCACTCTCATCAGTCCTATGCAACATAGTACTGGAAGTCCTAGCCAGAGCAATCAAGCAAGAGAAAGAAAGAAAAAGCATCCAAATAGGCAAAGAGGAAGGCAAATTATCTTTTTGCTGATTCTATACCTAGAAAACCCTAAAGAGTCTGCCAAAATCTCCTAGACCTAACAAACAACTTCAGCAAAGTCTCAGGATATAAAATCAATGTACAAAAATCAGTTTACCAATAACAATCAAGTTGAGAGTCAAATCAAGAACACAATCCCATTATAATGGCAACAAAAAATAAAATACCTAGGAATACATCCAACAAGGGAGATAAAATCTTGCTACAAGGAGAGCTATAGAACACTGCTGAAAAATATCATAAACAACACAAATAAGTGGAAAAGCATTCCATGCTCATGGATGGGAAGAAAAGCATCATTAAATTGTCCATACTGACAAAGAAAATCTATAGATACAATGCTACCAATATCGTATTTCACAGAACTAGAAAAAGCTATTCTAAAATTCATATTGAACCAACAAAGAGCCCAAATATCCAACCAATTCTGAAAAAAAAAGAATACAGTTGGAAGCATCATATTATTCAACTTCAATATACTACAAGGCCATAGTAACCAAAAACAGCATGTTACTGGTACAAAAATAGAGACATCAACCAATGGAACAGAATAGAGTCCCCAAAATAAAGCTGCACATCTACAATCAATTGATCATCAACAAAAGTAAACAATGGGAAGATAATAGCCTATTCAATAAATGGTGCTGAGAAAACTGGCTAACCATATGGGGAAGAGTAAATCTAGATGCCCACCTCTCACCTTATAAAAAAATTAACTGAAGATGGATTAAAGATTTAAATGTAAGACCTCAAGATATTAAAATCCGAGAAGAAAACCTAGAAAATACTCTTCCAGACATTGGCCTAGGCCAATAATTTATGACTAAGCTCTCAGAAGCAAATGCAACAGAACCAAAAATTGACAATTGAGACATAATTAAACTAAGGAGCTCCTGCACAGCAAAAGAAACTATTAACAGAGTAAACAGATGACCTACAGAATGGGAAAAAATATTCACAAACTATGCATCCAATATAGGACTAATATCCAGAATCTATAAGGAATTTAAATAAATAATCAACAACAAAACAAATAACTCCATTTTTTAAAATGGGCAAATAACATAAACAGACACTTCTCAAAGGAAGACATAAAAATGCCAACAAACGTGAAAAAAATGCTCAACGTCACTGATCATCAGAGAGATGCAAATCAAAACCACAAGGACTTACCATTTACAGCAGTTGGAATTGCTATTATTAACAGTCAGAAAATAACAGATGTTGGCAAGCTTGTGGAGAAAAGGGAACACTTGTACACTGTTGGTGCGAGTGCAAATTAGTTAAACCCTCGGGGAAAGCAGTTGGGAGATTCATCAAAGAAATACAAGCAAAATTACTATTTGACTCGGCATTCCCATTACTGGATATATATCCAAAGAAATTTATATTATGCTATCAAAAAGTCATCTGCACTTGTATGTTTATTGCAGCATGATTCACAATAACAAATACATGGAATCAACCCAGTTGCCCATGCCAGCAGCTAGTTGGATAAAGAAAATGTGGTACATATACACCATGGAATGCTACATAGCCATAAGAAGAATGAAATCATGTTCTTTGCTGCAACATAGATGCAACTGGAGGCGACTATTCTAAGCAAATTAACACAAGAGCAGAAAACCAAATGCCTCTTTTCCTCATTGAATAACTTTTATTTCCTTCTCCTGCCTGATTGCCCTGGCCAGAACTTCCAACAATATGTTGAATAGGAGTGGTGAGAGAGGGCATCCCTGTCTTGTGCCAGTCTTCAAAGGGAATGCTTCCAGTTTTTGCCCATTCAGTATGATATTGGCTGTGGGTTTGTCATAAATAGCTCTTATTATTTTGAGATACGTCCCATCAATACCTAATTTATTGAAACTTTTTAGCATGAAGGGCTGTTGAATTTTGTCAAAGGCCTTTTCTGCATCTATTGAGATAATCATGTGGTTTTTGTCGTTAGTTCTGTTTATATGCTGGATTACATTGAAAGAGGAAGTCAAATTGTCCCTGTTTGCAGATGACATGATTGCATATCTAGAAAACCCCATCGTCTCAGCCCAAAATCTCCTTAAGCTGATAAGCAACTTCAGCAAAGTCTCAGGATACAAAATCAATGTGCAAAAATCACAAGCATTCTTATACACCAATAATAGACAAACAGAGAGCCAAATCATGAGTGAACTCCCATTCACAATTGCTTCAAAGAGAATAAAATACCTAGGAATCCAACTGACAAGGGATGTGAAGGACCTCTTCAAGGAGAACTACAAGCCACTGCTCAACGAAATAGAAGAGGATACAAAGAAATGGAAGAAAATTCCATGCTCATGGGTAGGAAGAATCAATATCGCGAAAATGGCCATACTGCCGAAGGTAATTTATAGATTCAATGCCATCCCCATCAAGCTACCAATGATGTTCTTCACAGAATTGGAAAAAACTACTTTAAAGTTCATATGGAACCAAAGAAGAGCTTGCATTGCCAAGTCAATCCTAAGCCAAAAGAACAAAGCTGGAGGCATCATGCTACCTGACTTCAACCTATACTACAAGGCTACAGTAACCAAAACAGCATGGTACTGGTACCAAAACAGAGATATAGACCAATGGAACAGAACAGAGCCCTCAGAAACAATGCCACACATCTACAACCATCTGACCTTTGACAAACCTGAGAAAAACAAGAAATGGGGAAAGGATTCCCTATTTAATAAATGGTGCTGGGAAAACTGGCTAGCCATATGTAGAAAGCTAAAACTGGATCCCTTTCCTATACCTTATACAAAAATAAATTCAAGATGGATTAAAGACTTAAATGTTAGACCTAAAACCATAAAAGCCCTAGAAGAAAACCTAGGCAATACCATTCAGGACATAGGCATGGGCAAGGACTTCATGTCTAAAACAACAAAAGCAATGGCAACAAAAGACAAAATTGACAAATGGGATCTAATTAAACTAAAGAGCTTCTGCACAGCAAAAGAAACTACCATCAGAGTGAACAGGCAACCTACAGAATGGGAGAAAATTTTTGCAATCTACTCATCTGACAAAGGGCTAATATCCAGAATCTACAAAGAACTCAAACAAATTTACAAGAAAAAAACAACCCCATCAACACGTGGGTGAAGGATATGAACAGACACTTCTCAAAAGAAGACATTTATGCAGCCAAAAGACACATGAAAAAATGCTCATCATCACTGGTCATCAGAGAAATGCAAATCAAAACCACAATGAGATACCATCTCACACCAGTTAGAATGGCGATCATTAAAAAGTCAGGAAACAACAGGTGCTGGAGAGAATGTGGAGAAATAGGAACACTTTTACACTGTTGGTGGGACTGTAATCTAGTTCAAACATTGTGAAAGTCAGTGTGGCGATTCCTCAGGGATCTAGAACAAGAAATACCATTTGACCCAGCCATCCCATTACTGGGTATATACCCAAAGGAATATAAATCATGCTGCTATAAAGACACATGCACACATATGTTTATTGCGGCACTATTCACAATAGCAAAGACTTGGAACCAACCCAAATGTCCAACAATGATAGACTGGATTAAGAAAATGTGGCACATGTACACCATGGAATACTATGCAGCCATAAAAAATGATGAGTTCATGTCCTTTGTGGGTATGTGGATGAAGCTGGAAACCACCATTCTCAGCAAACTATCACAAGGACAAAAAACCAAACACCACATGTTCTCACTCATAGGTGGGAATTAAACAATAAGAACACTTGGACACAGGAAGGGGAACAACACACACCGGGGCCTGTTGTGGGATGGGGGGATGGGGGAGGGATAGCATTAGGAGATATACCTAATGTAAATAATGAGTTAATGGGTGCAGTACACCAACATGGCACATGTATACATATGTAACAAACCTGCACGTTGTGCACATGTACCCTGAAACTTAAAGTATAATTAAAAAAAAAAAAAGAAAACCAAATGCCATCTTCTCACTTATAAGGGGGTTGAACATCAGGTACATGTGAACATAAAGATGGGAACAATAGACACTGGAGACTACTAGAGTAGAAAGGGAAAGAGGGGAGCAAGGGCTGAAAAACTGCCTATTGGGTATTATGCTCAGGACCTTGGTGACGGAATCATTCATACCGTAAACCTCAGAATTATGCAATATACCCAAGTAACAAACCTGCACATGTATCCCCAAATCTCAAATTTAAATATTAATTAATTTATTTATTTATATTAAATTTTAAAAAAAGAAAAATCTACACTTTGGGGATATTTAGAGTCTGGTACATTACCTGTCCAGTGTCTGTCTAATGTCTTTAAAAACAAATGAATAGTCTGAGCATGGTGTCTCACACCTCTAATCCTAGCGCTTTGAGAGGTTGACGCAGGAAAATTGCTTTTGGCCAAAAGTTAAGACCAGACTGGGCAACATAGTGAGATCCTTTCTCTACAAAAATTAAATATATGAATAAACAAACAAGTAAACTAAATAAAAATACAAAGAGAAATAAAACCAACAAAGAATTTCCAAAAATATCAGCCGAGTTATTATTGCACATGAAAATAGACATTATATATTCACCCAGTGGGGGGAAAAGTTGTGCTTAAAATATGACATGAATTGATTCAAACATCCCACAAGAATTCCTCTCTTCTTGCTGATTTTCCTATGACTTGTAGCCATGGTACAAAGCACACAAACACTCTGTCTATGATATGAGATATGACCCAAGCCATAGAATTTTAATATTTGTCTCCTCTCCTGAGTTATTTGAGTTGTCTGTTTGAAAAAGTTATTCAAATCTGTTTTTATATTTAACATGATCTTGACAGTTCTGCTAGTCTAAGGATTTCATGTGTTACTGAGCTACAAGTTTTTCTCGTTGTCTTTCTCCTTTAACCATCCATATAGAGTGCAGGTCAACACTTGATATAAAAATTCTAATTACTACTAAGTAACTTGATACTCTATGCATCCAACCACAGTATATTGTATTATCCAATTTTATCTTGGAGGAAATAAGTTGAAATAAATTGGTCTTTCTCTTTCTCTTACTTTGTTTGATTACCCAGGTGATTATGTACATTCATTTCTTTGAGCAGAGAAAAATCATTCCAGCCATTCAACCCCTATAGTAATCACTTAGCTTTTATTGTCTGTTAATTATATGGAGAAAGAACACACATTCACAAGAAAGATGAATGGAAAAATTAGGATGAATGGAAAAATAATAAAAATTCAAAATGGGATGTAAGGCAATAAATCCTACAGACATTTCCAGGATGGCAAAGTTTCAAGTAATGTCTGAAAGGGAAAAAACTCTTATGTCAAGAGGTAAACACAACTTCTTCTTACCTGTTTGGTCAGCAAGTTTATCAAGTATCATAGACACTCTCTGAATTAGTATGATTCAAGAAAACCCATAGAAATGTTTTCTGGCATTTAACTCCCTAACAGATGGTGTACCTATCTATATGCGCATTAATATGAGCTGATATATGCTTGTGGGAAATCAGTATTATAAAGTGGTATACCCACAGGAGGCCTTCCAATATTGTAATGCTCACTTAGACTCTTATTTCTTTTATAAATTAACATTGTTCTCTATATTCTTTATGAAGCAGCAACATCCTTTCCTTAAGAGTTAAAATAAGGACTTCACAAGCTTTCAGAGTCAAAAATATATAAAGTGACTTAGCAACAAATTAAAATAGTATATCTTAGAAATTTATTTTTCTGCTCAAATATTTTCCTATACCTAGTTCTGCATTCTGCCATTCCTCAATTGATCATTCACAAAAAGGAAATCTTCTTTCCTAAAAGTAGTTTGACATTCCCTTAAGGATCCAGATCTGTTTGCAGGCATCTCATTTAAGAAGCATTCTGATGTGATATGGAAGGAATTAAGAAGGAAGGAAATTGATCTGATCTAATTTGATGTAACATAAGCCAAGTGGTTTATTATAGACAAATTCCCTCAACTGTGAGTTGTTGCCCACTGAAGGAAGTTTCATATAAATGATTACATGAATGGGGAGATGTAAAAATCTGCCAGATACAGTCACCACAATATTAATTTTCCTTCTCCATAAACAGTATTTCATGGCCCTCCAACGAGCTGCATCCAAGAAAAGTCACTCAAATGCAAATTTAAAAACAGCCCTATATAAAGGTGATGAAGTTCACTACCCAGATCTAGAGATTTGAGGGAGTATAAGAAGTCAAAAAGATGTCAATCACAGGAAACCATCAATCTCCAATCCTTTACAGATCAAAATCTCCTCTATCACAAATATTGAGTCATCTCCAAAATATCACAGTTAAATTTTACAAGAGATAAGAAAAATGAAGATAGTCCCAGCCAAAGACATGGCTTCTCTAGTTCTCACTTTGAATTATTTGCAAGGCACATGTATATATTTATTTATTCCAATAGGGAATTATGGCAACATGGCAGTGAGGAGTTCAGAGTAAATGGGAGAAGCTCAAGACATTGGGTTAGACCAGAGATATTTCAAGTGGGAGCCTTAACCTAGTACTGTCCAGGAAAAGTAAGTTTAGAAAGTGAGAGTAAACTTAAAAGTAAGAGTATATGTTTAATAATATTACAAGATATCCATCCTCAACAGAGTGTAAATATAAAAGTATGATGATGATTATGATGTTCAAAATTGTGCCATGATCTTGATCAGTCACATTTGACAGTACGAAATACTAACATTGCAAAAGTGTGTTACTATTCATTTCATAGTAGATACTTTTATTATTCTCATTATGTAGATGAGGCAACTAATTCTTCAAGAAGGTAGTTGCTTTGCTCAAAATCACTCAGGTAGGAATTAGTGGAGGACAGATTAAAATCCAGATCTTCTGACAGAAGATCTCACAGCTCAGAAACTAGGTTGTGTGCAATTAAGCCCCTCATCCCCATAAAAGTTACTTTCTTCAATCTACTCTGGCCTTTTGAGTTAGAGAGTACAATAAAGCCTATTGCAACAATATCAGGTCTAGTTGAACCTGGCCTGGAACCTCGCTTCTACAGATCTACAGAGCCAGCAACATGGACATCATCTATCTTATTAGACACGCAGAATCTCAGGCCTCATCTAATGCTTATTAGACACACAGAATCTCAACCCTCATCCAATGCCTCCTAAGTCAGAATCTTTATTCCTACATGGGGATTCAGATGCACTTTAAATCTTAAAAAGCACTGGCCCACAACTCTAATAGTACCTTATTGCCAACCTGTGGTTGATTACCAAGCCTCGATTTACCAATTCTCCCACCTACTTTAGAGACTTGGAGTTAGAGCTAGATAGGCCTGAGTTCTGTGTGAACTTGCATAAGGAGATACAGTTTTTTCATGTGCAAATGAGGAAAATAACTCATTCTTCCCAAGGGTTGTCATTAGAATTAAGAGAAGATATATATATATGTTATATATATATATGTTATATAGATATGTCATATATGTTATAGATATGTTATGTATGTTATATATATGTGTGTGTATATATATAGTACTATATATGTGTGTATATATATACACTATATATACACATATACACATATATACACTATATATACACATATATAGTACTATATATACACATATATAGTACTATATATACACATATATAGTACTATATATATACACACATATATATATAATATCATCAAACATATATGTATTTGATGATACACACAGTAGGTACCCAATAAGTAGTAATTCCATCACTTCTTCCTCAGCCCTCACATCACTATTGACCACCATCCTTACTTACTCCCCTATAATTGACCTCAGCTAAATCCTCATTTCCATCTTTTTCGAGTCCTGATTCTAGTTCTCACTCAGCTGACATTTCCTGCCCCCTTTCCATCTTCAAAAGGGGTTCCTTTCTGGCTTGGTATGGTCTGCCATTCCCACCCTCTTCAGATAGCATCCCAGAGCAACCAACTCACAGCACATGTGCAGAGATATCACATGTGGATTGCCTAGCAAAGCTCTGTTTCATTTGCATGCTTTTGAATTCACTTGCATGCCTCCAGGTAGAGCATGTACTCTCAACTTGGCCACAGACCTTCATCACCTTTTGTCTTTCATTGGTCACATTCACAGAAGTATGTTTCTTGTCACATCTCTATAGGCACTTGTGTTTGTGAGTTTTTACACCTCAACTCCTTTAGCTTTTATCCTTATTAACTACGGAGGATAAAAGGGCAAAGGGTTTAACCCCCTGGCTAATTACAGAGGTCCCTGCACAAGCACTTGCCCCCGCCGATGACTTTCGTTGTATGTGGTCCTCTGCTGCCCCCTACGGGCCTCTTCCCACTTTGCCCACTGGCCTTGATTAATGTCTGTTCAAAACCGTTAAGAATCCTTGTCCTGATTTCATAGTGCAGTATATAGAGTGTACCCAGGTAAAACTGCAAGGTTTCACATTGGAAAGAATAACTTGAAACATAAAATACACTCCCCAACTAACAGTACTTCCTTTATAAGGTTCTATCCATAGTACTTATCTCACTTTCTTAAAAATACATAATTACTTGTCTATGTATGCCCCCACTAAATGGAAAGCACTGTCAGGGCCACATAATCCAGCCTTGGGCATAGGGGAAATACCCCAGAGGAAAGGATGCCTAGCTAGACTCACAACAAGTGAGTAGACTATAGCTTGACCAAGGACATGAAACTAAGAAAAAGCTAGAGTCTTTGAAGAAATAATCAAAGTTCAGCATGGTTAAAAAGTTGAACATTGTAAGCAGAGGTACATTAGAGGGAGAAAGTAGGAAAAGAGGAAATTGGAAGTGTAAGTTAGGTCCAGATCATTAAGGACTATATTTAAAAGTTTATAATTTGTTCTAAGAACAAAGATGATCAACTGCTGGGTTTTAAGCAGAAAGTATAGTCATCAGGTTAATATTTCTGAATGATCACCCAAGAGCATTATTACAGCAAACCAGGCAATAGAAGATGATTGTCTAGACTAGATGAATTGAGGTGAGGGGGGAGAGAAGTAGACGGAGAGAAGTAGATGGAGCCTGGAGAGATTTAGAAGATGCAATCAACATAGACTACAAAGAGAAGAGATAAATGAAGAATGACCACGTTTCTATTTTGGATCACTGGGAACATATGGTGCTAGAATTAACTGAGATCAGTATCTCAACACAAAATACCATCAAAGAAAAAACAACAACAATAAATTGAACCTGATCAAAATTTAAAATTTCTGCTCTTCAAAAAACACTATTAAGAAAATTAAAGGGCAAGGCTCAGACTCAGAGAAAATATTCACAATACATATATCTGAAAAATGACTTGTTTCAAAAATACAAAAAGAACTTTCACAATTCAATGAGACAAAAAAGCCAATAAGAAAACGGGAGAAGATCTGTACAGACACTCCACAAAAAAAGATATACATATGTGTGTGTGTGTATACATATATATATGTATGTGCATACATATACATATATATATGTATACACACACACACATATATACAATGACATATGAAAATATGCTTACCATATTTAGTCATCAGTGTGATGCAAATTAAAACCATAAGATAATATTATATAGCCATTACAATGGCAACATTTTTAAAAACTGTTAATACCATGTCTTGGCAAGAGTATAGAACAACTGGAAATCTCATACATATATTTCCAGAGGGAATGTAAAATGGTATACCTGCTTTAGAAAACAGTTTCCCAGTTTTTATAAATTTAAATTTACATTTACCATATAACTCAACAATTCCCCTTCAAGGTTTTCAACCAAGAGAAATGAAAATATATGCCCATATGAAGACCTATAAGCAAACGTTCAATACGACTTTATTCAAAATGGCCAAACAACGCAAATGTATTTCGATAGGTGAATTGTGACATATTCATACAATGAAATACTATGCATCAATAAAAAGGAATGAACTATTGAAACACACAACCACCAAGTGCATCTTTAAAAAGACTTTGTTAAGCAAAAGAAGCTACACACAAAAGTGTACATTCTATATGATTTCCTTTAATATGAAACTCTAAAAAAATGACAAGTCTAATATATAGGTATAGGAAACTGATCAGTGATCCCTTGGGGCTCCAGTGGGATTGATTAAATAGAAAGGAACATAAACATTTGAAGGTGATGGAAACATTCTATATCTTGATTGTGGTGGTGTTTACATGGGAGCGGAGTTCAGGGGTGGCTGAATTTGTCAAAACCCATTGACACACACTTAATATGGTGCATTTTATCATTTATGTCAATAAGGTTGACTTAAACAAATAAATTAAAAACTAGATACTTGGTAATTTGAAAGGTCATAAATGACAATTCATGAACTCTACATGATGAAGTTCTTCTCTTACTTCTCTGGAGCCTCTTTTAATTGAATTCTAATAGCAAGACACAATGACATGCTCTCAACATTATAATGAAGTACAACAAAAATCCATTTTCAAAATTTTTTAAATTAATGTGTGATACAAATCATTCATGCTCCCCCATCAAAAAGAAAATATTTAGTTCAGTATAATAGTTTTAGAATATTTGTACTCAGTGAACCTTGCTGCACATATCATCCTTTCTAACAAAAGGCATAGTTGAGTCATCACAAAAGTGAAAATAATAACAAATTAATGTGGCGGAATGAAAAAGAGGCTATGCTAATGATCGGTGATAGCACAACCACTAAACAGCTGCTCAGTTCTCTCCAGAATCAGCCTTATCCTCAGCTACATTTTCTGGAGCATTTCTCTTCTGGCTTTGAACCATCTGTCATTTGGCAGATAAGCTGTATTCCGAGACATCTATATTCAACTGCCACTTTTCAAACCCTGTGAGTATGGACTAATTCAAGACGAGACTATGATGGTCTATTTTAACATTTTGTTTTCCTTAGTTTCATTCAAAATCCTATCACGTAAGGGAAAAATTTAGAAAACTTCAATGGCAAAATGTAGCATAATTGCTTCTAGGAAGTTTCCCTTACCTTCTGTAAGCTTTTAGTGGCAATTCAATAAATTTTCAAGCCTTGCAAAGAAGGAGAATACCATACTATTACCTCTAGTCAATAATGAAGATTCGCTGGGGATTCAGCTAATTCAGAAGCCTTACAGGTTTCCAGCATCTGTAGTATTTTTCTCCTTAGCTACATTTAATCCCAGTCCTGAATACAATATTTTAATTAGTTATGACCATATTCAGTTATCATCTTCCTGCTTCCAAACTGTATATATCACATGAGAAATGGAAACAAAATTCTTTCTTGATCTTTGAAATAACCCAGAGTACCCAGTTAATTTCCAAATCTATATTCTTAGTTGAATAGAAGAAAATGAAATGGAACCAGCTTTCTGAGCTAAATAGAAAAAGTTCAGAACTGAGATGAAGAGCTAAATTATTATTTCCAATACATCAAATCAACAAGTTCATAGACAGCCTAAAAAATTCCACATTTTAAACCTCTCCACTGAATTCACCCTGAATATACCATTCAAGGTGGAGTGAGAAACATGGAGGCAGTGTTATCTTTGTATACGACAATTCCTATGAATAAAGGAATACCATACAAATATTCCTATGAATAAAGGAATATAACAAAGTATACCAGGTTATTACTATCTCGACAAACTGTCCAGTTCATACTTAGAACGTTCAAAATACTTGATTTAAAAATTGAAAAGAGCTTTTCCATGTGATAAAAATCCATACAGTTTTAATTCAGAAATAAAAATAGGCCCTAGTGCAAGTCACTGTTTACTCTTCTCCTTGTCCATATTTTTACATCCCAAAAGAGAAAGCCCACTTTACCCAGTGCTAAATGCTGACATTTGGAATTACCACAGAGCAGCATGCAGGAGGTTCTCAAAGATGGAAAATTACCTTGTTTCTTTTACAATTTAAAGCGACTGGTAACTTGCCCTTATGCCTAAGAATCAGTAGATATAGATTTCTAAAGTGATAAGGAGGTCTCTATAAAAATGATCACATAAAGAGGCAGTGTGCTGGTGCTCCCATCACAGGAAACCAGACACAGTTTTGATTTATTCACAGCCCCTGACACATTAACCACTCACATAGCTAGTAAACACATCAGCTAGCCAAAGATCAAGATGCTTTACATATTTGAATACTTTGCTTACCAGAAAAGCACCTACTATATTTGAAAGCACCTTTACACTAAAAACAAATACTGGAGAACCCATGGCAATGCATATTTTAAATACACATCCTCTGCAGAAAAACACTATTTTCAATAAACATACAGGTTCATATTACTGCCAATCCCTTGGGAGAGCTGTAGTGATGAGCACTGGTGCCCTCCCACCCATCAGAAAACCAAGAAGCTAACACAGCCTAACCCTATCACCTCCTGCTATTCATTCTTTTGCTCCTTTCTCACCTGAAGACTAAGTAAGAAAAATAGAAATAAGGTTAATATTTTTCTTTGCTGAAATAAATAGGATTTTATAAATGTGCAATTTCACACCATCTCCTAAAAATCTGTATTTAGGATCCTCATATTAAATTAAACAAGTCCCCATTTCAATTTCCAACATTGCCAGAATTAAGCGCATGCACACACACACACACACACACACACACACACCCCTAATGTATATACAATTTTAGGAATCTCAGCACACATTCAATGGAAATCCATGCACAAACATGTATTTTGCTTGTCAAGATATGTTCATTTTCAAAAACAGTTTTCAGAAGCCTGAGTTATATGTATTTATCTTTGAGCATTTGACCCTGCTTAATTGCAAACTAATGACAAATGAGACACAGAGGACTGCCACCTTTCTTACTGTTCACAATAAGTACTAAATATTTAGAATGAAAGTGGAGAATCCCTGGCCCTAATGTTAGCAAACCAACAAACCAATTAAAAATGAAAAACAAACTTGGCTGACTCTAATTCTACAATTCACTGTTGATTTCTAGTGCCATTTTCAACATATAGGGACAGTGCCCTGAGAGAAATGCCACACAAAAATTGGTGTTATTCGTTCTCTTTGGTAAAGCTATTTTCTGTGACAATGAGTTTTAACAAACAGAATTTGATAAAGAACCCAAAATTAGAATCAAATAAGTTTGATAGACAAAGTTCCTAGGTACATTTTTTCTGTAAGAGTGTGAGTGTGTGTGTGTGTGTGTGTGTGTGTGCAATTTTGTACCTGTTTTCTTAACCTATGACTAAAAGAACAATAAATATATTTTGAAGGAATTATTACAACTAATAGCATCCTTTCTTTCACTGAGTAGAAACAGCAGACAAAATTACAAAGTCATTGCTGGTACTGTAATTGTTGGATTTGGCTTTCTGCTTAAGGTTTCCATTATTGTATAACATTATTAAGTATAAAGGAAAGGAATTAAGAAGTAGCAGAAGATAAAAATCTTAATTCATGACACCTTTTTCAAGTGTTTTAGTCAAGAAAAAGTGTAATGCTCTCTTCATTTTCCACTGCTATCCATAGATCCCACCCCTATTACCCAGCCTACTCCTCTGGAGTGTGAGCCTCCCCTGGAGTCCCTGTCCCACCACCCTCATTTTACCACCTAAAGGACCACTTCATTATTCAGTCTCATTTCTTCCATTCTATATGCTCTAAATTTGCAGGTCCTCCACTTTCAAAGCTTTTCCAACTGTTCAAAGCTTTTAATCTACGTTTGGAGAGAAGCAGCCTCTGCCTCTGTTAGTCCTTGTGCAGTCACAGCTTTCAACAGTGACATGCCTATGTGCTTAGCTGCACCTGAATTGAAAAGTGCCCTGTCAGTAGCATCTTTGCACAGGCAGGACAATTATACATCCATTCTCTCTCAGGCACACAGAGAGAGGAGACCACCCACCCCAAACCAGCGCACCAGCTAGCTCTCCCTCTGCTTCATTTCAGCCCCCACACAGCTGTTGCAGCACTTAAAAGGAAAGCACAGCTGCCTCAGTTTGATTCACACCTACATGGTTTTTCTTCATTTCCACTCTCATTTCCATGAGCTCCAGTTGCTTGCATCTCTCCTCCCTTTTTATTTGTATTAGAGGAAGTACAAGGCTGTGAGCAGAATCCCTTTTGTCTTCCCGTTTAGATCAGACATATAAACAAATACATCTGCTTGGCTAGGGCAGAAGCAAAGCCTTAAATAGTAGCATTGCCTAAAAGGCACCACTAAGTTCTGCCAAAGAATTATTACAATTAAGACTTCTCATGAGAAGGCAGCTTTCATACAGCTAATCAAACAACAACAACACACAGAACAACACATCATTTCACAAATCCAATTGCCTCCTTTTTGCGTATATGAAAAATGTTGTTGCCTAGAAAGCCACAGAAGGCAGCAATTGTATATAACAGCCAAGTAAATCCATGTTCTCAGGCCACCATAAAGAAAATCACAGTCCTCTGCAATAAGAACCCTCTCTAACGCAGATCCCTTTTTTAAAAAGTCTGCCTTAAAGAATTCAACTCGTTGCTATGAATCTCTCTCATCTCAATTTTTTCTGTATTTGTGTAAAACCGGATGTCATAATACATACACATTTTTTGATTTGTGGGGAAAAAAATCCCCTGAAGATTATCTAGCTTCTTCAGCAGTCCAGAACAGATTATTAACCATCTTCATAAATATCTTTCTTAAAGGGAAAATTAACGGCCCCCGTTTATTTCTTATGCTTTTAAAAAACACAACCTAATCTACACTTTTATACACCAATGTAATCTACATTTATGTAACATAGTTTGTTCATTTCCCAAACATTTTGGAAACCTATTAGCCCCACTTCTCTGTTTCATGTCCAGAGCCAAGGACAGCGTTGTGTAAAGCAATAAAGCCCATTTCTCTATCCTGCAACTGTGTGCATTTTTCAGCCAGCATGGCATCCAAGCAAGAGCAAATCCCTGGTCTGCAGCACTGCACTTTGTCATGCTATGAGTTCGCCTTAGGCAGCTCTTGGGACAGATCAGCGGGCCAAACACTGTCTTGTACTCTTCCCAAGTGTTAATCATCTTTCTAAATGTCACAGTCTCTGACATGCAGATAGGAAAGCAAAAGTCCACCAGCCAGGCTCCCTAGATCCGTTCACACCCCCAGTCCACTTTGTGTGAGGCTAAGTCACACCACTTGTTCACTTTCTCCTCCAGTATTAGCATCTTCATCTGGTGCACATGCTCTTCCCTCCAACTGCTAATTTACTCCCTTATCCTTCTGGAAAATCCATACTCCTGCAACCGAAGTATCTTCTCTTGGGTAAAGCTTTGCTGATGCCAAAGAGTAATGTTTATCTTGCCTTTTTCATTGCAACCATCAGATTCTATACTCACTTCCTTACTTGTACTAAAGCCCTTAACTGCACTGTACTATGGGGATTTGTTTGCATGCCCATTCCTCTCCCCTTCCCTCACCTTTGCCCAGATTTACACTTGGAGTCTAATCTCAATGTCACTCCTCGGGCAGGCTTTCCCTGAAGGTTCAAATTTGTCATCTTCTGTTAAATGCACTCATTCTGTTCTATTCTTTCTCTTTATGTAAAATCACATTTGTTGACATTTGCACCATATCTATTTCCCAAACCTTAAGTACTGTGACTGTGGGGACCTTGACAGCCTTCTTCACAATTACATTCCTAATGTCTGGGACAGCGTTGGGAATCTGTTAATTCTCAATTGTTTAAAAACATCAGATGAATTAATCAGTACAATGTAAGCTTCTTGAGAGCTGGGACTGCATCTTATTTACATTTTTAACCCCAGCCTACCCAAATCAATGAGCAACAGTTTTTTAAATCAATAACCAACTCAATAAATTGTATGTTCTTCATCTACGTCCTAAGAATATAGTCAATTTATAACAAAGTTGATTCTCAAGGAAACTGTGTAACCTAGTTTCCTAAAATTTATAAGAATCACAGACATGGAAGTGTAAAGCATTGGGAATTGAAACTTTAAATAAATTTATGTTTAGCTATTAGTGTCTTAAAAAGATGGTACCATGCCATAAAAAAACACTGGTTTGATGAATGTCCAACAGCTAAACAAAAGCCAATACATATTCATCCTTGTTTGTGACTAAGTATGGAAAAATTAAATCACAGGTAATTGAAGCTATTTCAAGCCTTCACTTCAGTTTTGTTTTCAATATTATTTTTTTACTTGTACTTGCATACTTTAAAAAATAATCAATTAGTCATAGTCAACATTTATGTGCAGAGACCATATTAGGCATTACGGAGAAATGCAAAAGAAACAGGAGGGAGACAGATGGCCCATGTAATATACATAATAAAATGTCCTGCTTTGCTCTGCCTTACTCAGGTATTATGCATTCAATCTGCAGTCCTTCATATTATTTTACATTGGTGTCTTTTTTTTTCCCTCTGATTAGACCTGAAGTTCCTTGACAACACATATTTTGACTTTTGCTTAACTCCTTTTTATCACCACATATTCTTCTTTCTTACCAAATCAATGCACACACTCACTCATCAAATATTTCTTGAGTGCCTGCTCTGTGGCAGTTACTCTGCTAGATTTAAGAAATATAGTAGAGAATCAGAGAGATAAGTCTCCTGCCCCCATGGAGCTATATTGAATATGTATGTGGAGAGTAGAGCTGGAGTAAAGATAAAACAAGTAAACAACTATGAAAATTTTAGCTAGCAAAAAGTGTTATAAAAACATATTAGCAGATTAAGGAGTTAGAAACAAATAACGATGATGGCTATTTAAGAAGAAATTACCAATAACATTTAAGCAAATACCTGATTGTATTGAAGAAAGTATTGGCAGATCTGGGTGGAGGAATGTTGTAAGCAGAGAAAACAAAAGGTACAATGGCTGTGAGGTGGTGATGAGCCCTGTGAGCTCGAAGACCTCAGAAGAATGGTGTGGCTGGAGCTAAGTGAATGAGGGACAGATGCGTATAAGATAGAGTTCAAAAGGGCCAGATCCTGTACAGCCAATATAGACTGTGGTAAGATATTTAAATTTTATATTTATGGAATAAGAAGTTTACAGACAGTTAGAGCAAGGGTGTCATGTAATCCATCTTGTATTTCAAGACTATTACTTTGGCTGCTTTGAGGGAAATGGGCATTGTAAAAGTGGAGGCTGACAGACAAGTTGGGAGGTATTGCAATGGACCAGGCAGGAGGTAGTAGTGCCTTGGATTGAGGTAGTAACTGTGAAGGTGATTAAAAATGGTAAGATTTTGAATATATTTTGAAAGTAGAGCCAGAAGGTAGGACTCATTCATGGTTTGCATGAAAGCCATGAGAAAATAAGAAGAATCAAAGAATCTAGGTTATTGGTCAGAAAAAAGGTGGATGATGAGGCAGTTGTAAGATGTGGATGACTAGGGGAGAAGTCTAGAATAGGGCTCCCAAGAGCAGATGCTCCATAAATGCTAACTTATAAGTTCTGAAACCGTCTATTATTCTCAGTAGCCATTTGTGACACCTGGTCAAAAAGTTTTATATTCCAGTGTAAGTATACTTTCAGTTTGTTATATTTTTATATTTATTTCTTATTTTGCGTGATCGCTCTGTGGAGCATGGAGTGGTTACAGTGGCCTGGAAACTATACATTCTATTTTAGTTAATTTATTGTTCTATAACTAAGTCTAAGAATAATTCAATATCTTTTGATATTGAATCCATAAGAATAGAAGTCAAAGAATGGTCCAGTATTGTTTAGATCCTGCCCATGTAGGATTAGACAATAATTCCTTCAGAACATGGAAGCTGTCTTTTTCATCTCAGCCCCATCAGTGCCCAGCTCAGTACCTGGCATGATTTGCGTATTGAGAAAGTGATGTTATAGTGAACTAAAAGACAACTGGTGACATATCTTCCAATTTTGCCTCCAACACTTCTACTAAATTTGAATTTAGATCAATTTATCTTATTCTTTGTTTTAATGTATACTTCATTCAAAAATAATTTAATTTTTTTCTAAACAACTAAATTTACAGCAATTTTTAGTCAACCATATGGTGACTTTTTTCAAGCTGTGCAGTTAATTATTTTTTTAACTAATTCACCTTATCCACTAAAATTTTAATTTGAACTCTCTCTTAACTGGTTAGAGTTTCTTCCATATCATAGCTAAAAATTTAAAAGGCTGTATTAGTTCGCTTTCATGCTGCTGATAAAGACATACCCCAAAGTGGGAACAAAAAGAGGTTTAATTGGACTTATAGTTCCATATGGCTGGGGAGGCCTCAGAACCAGGACAGGAGGCAAAAGGTACTTCTTACATGGCAGTGGCAAGAGAAAAATGAGGAAGAAGCAACAGCGGAAACCCCTGATAAACCCATCAGATCTCATGAGATTTATTCACTATCATGAGAACACCACGGGAAAGACCAGCCCCCATGATTCAATTATCTCCCGTTGGGTCCCTCCCACAACACGTGGGAATTCTAGGAGATACAATTCAAGTTGAGATTTAGGTGCAGACACAGCCAAACCATATCAGATGCATATATGAATGCTATAGTTTCTGTCACATTAAATATCTGAAAATAACTACTATTTGCATTCAGAAAAAAAATTTAGGTGAGTATAAAATTGGTAAAAATATAATATTATGGATAGACTAACATATACACATCAGGTATAAATATAAAAACATAAGTTTATATTTAAAGAGTTATGATAGTATTACTGATAAGTAATTTAACAGATACAGGTTTCGCCAAATCAAAAATGTCACTATTTATAAATGTACATTTACTATGTTCTACTAGGAGAGGTAAACATGCTGCCAATTAAACTATCATTTGTAAGGCAAATCTTTATTGAAGAGATTAAAATGTGAAAACAAAATATGTATTAGAATCAAAATATGGTATACGTATATACATCAACATTCGTATTCTATATGTAAAACAAATTATACACTGTGCTCTACAGTCTGCATTCTCTTCCCAGGTATGGAGGATACATTTACTATTCTGAGTAAAGTAAGGTAATAAATTATTAAGAAAAAGAAAAACTAATAAGTGAGGAACAGAAAATAGTAGAATTAACACTAAATACAGGAAATGCTTCTTTGTAAAGACTTGTATAATAAGCAAAATGCTGATAAGACTAGGCAAAAGAGAGAAAGATGAGCATATGATATTGTATATGAAAAGAGTATAACATCTAAAATATGAGATATGTACAAAACTGAATTAAAAAATATATTTTAATGATTAATTCAAACATGAATAGATCCCCCAAAAATGAAATAAAGTGAGAACTTGTCAAAGAAATAAATTGAAACTGAAATAAAAAATGAAATAAATTGAGAACATTGTCAAAGAAATATTCTATCCACCACTTTCCCATCACTTTCCAACCCCAGAGGTCCTAGATTTAAAAAAAGAAATTTCCAAAGCTTCTGTTTCAAGTTTTCTACAAACAAATCAGCATTTAAATTCAATTAATATTCAATTAAATTGTTACAGAGATTAAAGATATAAATTATAGTCCAGCATCCTTGCTTCAATGGGGAACTGCTCTTCTTCCAATTCACAAGCATATAACGAACCACAGTGAGTTGGTCTCAAAGTGACCAACGAGAATCTTTCTTCAAGGGTTTTGCAGAGGAATTAAAAAAAAAAAGAAAGTCAGTTCGTTTTTAACAATAGAGAAATGAGTCTAAAGAGCTGATGGTGGCCATGCTTTCAACTAGACTATGTCTAAATACTAAAACATTATATGGATATTTATATATTTATATGTATTATTTTTATATCTGTGCCTATATCTGTATCTATCTATCCTAATGTGAATAGTGAATATAAGGAATCAAAACTCTAAATAAAACATTAACTAATCAAATCCAGCTGTACATTTTTAAATTAATATTCTTTGTATTTATACCAGGAATACATAGGTAACATATGGGAATTTATTAATCAAATAAATATCATGACTAAGTTAAATAAGAAAATCTCAAATAATTTTAATACATTGAAAAAAAAACATTAAATAAATTTAACACCCACTCCCAATGGCAAATCTCTTAAAAACATGAATAGAAAGACTTGATATATTAAAATCAATCACAACCCTTCTAGCCAACTTCCTATTTAAACATTGCATACATGACCATTAATACCAGGTAGTGGCATCAATGCCAAAAATAATAATCATGTTTCCCACAAATAATGCACACATGATTATTCTGAATCAGATAGCCAATGCAATTAGAGAAGAAAATACAATATGAACAATGAAAAATACAAAAATATAGGAAAAATCTAAATATTTACATACCTACAAAAAAGATGAAGAAACCAACTAAGAAGCTATTAAAAATAGAAAATAAAATAATTGAAATGGACATATAAGCCAAAAAATTAATGTTTTCAAAATTAGAAAACTTAAAGCAACATACAATAGTAACAAGAAACATAAAAATAAGGAATTAACTTCACAGAAAATTAGATCACCTATATGAAGAAAATTATAATATTTTACTCAGAAGCATATAAGCAAAATGAATATGTAGAAAACACACAGATTATGAGAGAGAAAGGCACATCTTTATAAAGACAAATTCTTCCAAAAATTAAGCTATGAATGTATTCATTTTCTGTCAGAATACTAATATTTTTTCAGTGAATTGATGAAAATTATCTTAAAGTTCTCTAGGTACCCAGGAAAACCATGAAAAGGAAGGCTAATGAGGAAGGACTTATCCTTCCAGGTTCTAAAGCATAGTCTCAATTTATCATAATCAAGAAAGTATGGCACCTTCAAAAGAGAGAACAGCAACACAAATATATAAAAATTCGGTACAAGATAAAAATGGCTTCTTAAATTGACACAGGAAAAGAATAATTTAATGATGGAGTTGGGACAATTGTTGAGCAATATAGAATATAATCAGATAGGTTCCGCTCTATTCTACCCAAAAATAAATTTAAAAAGAATCACAAATTAAATTTAAAAGTAAAGCCATGTAAGTGCTATAGGCATATAGAGATAAATATTTACATAGTGTAACACATTATACAACTTTATATTACACACCATTATATTATAGATGCAAAAATGTAAACATGACATGAAAAGCAGTAATTATAAAAGAAAAATGTTTGAGTTCTCATAAGTTAGAACAAGTATTGGATGTATATTAAATATGACAATGTTAATGTATGTGCAAAGATTACGTGCATCTATAGCATGCTCTCATTTTGAAAAAATCAGTACATATATTTGAATGATATAACTATTTTATAGTTACAAAGCCTAATTTCTAAAAATAATTAATGTCTAATTCTGGATCTCCTCCAGCAAACCTTATGTCAAGCAATTTAATTTAGCACTTAGATACCCAGACAGTTGGTCTGATAAACAAGATGGCTACTAAGCGACTATGGTATTCTGTAGACAAACGGAAGATTCATGTCCCAGGTGAGAACTGCTAAATGTCATCACCCTACTCAGAATGACATCCAATTTAAAACTTAAGAACTGTTTATTTCTAAAACATTCCACTTAATGTTTTCAGGCTACAGTTGACCACAGGTAACTGAAACTGCAGAAAACGAAAGTGAGGAAAGCAAAACTGAGAATAAGAGAGGACTACTGCACACACACTTATAAAATTGTTAATATAAAAATAGATGTATATACAGTTATAGATATATAGTGATAAAAATTAGCCTGGAGATGATAATTATTTAAGTATTAATAGAGGTTAAATGTTTCAAACTTGCCCAACATTTATTACATTCATAGATAAATTCTAAAAACATTTTAAAACATGATTTTCTAAATTTACAGCTGTCCAGGCAATCTTCTAATTCACATGGGTAACAATGTACGTTTCAAAAGGGTTGAGAAGATTGTTCAATGACGTAGGTTTATCTTATTCATACATGGCTTAAGCCTGGCTTTGAAAAACTTTTTAGAAGTAAAAACAGACTATATCTGAATTTGTGCAATTATGTGTTTGATTTAGCAAAGTAGAAAGAATTCATATAGCTAAATCCTGCTCACTTCTCCAAATATTAAAGCCACTGGGGCCCAAAATAGCACAAAGACATGGAGGAAGAAATAATTCACGCTCTCTTTGTGACTGACAGTTAAGCTGGGACATCAGTTTTCTCCTACTCTCTGAGACTGCCACCAACTCTCCTGGTTCTCAGGACTTTGAACTCAGACTGGAATTTACATCTCTGGCTCTCACAGGTCTCCAGCTTGCTGTCTGCAGATCCTAGGAACTTCTCAACCTCCATAATTGTGGGTCCCCAACCCCCAAGCCACAGATCTGTACCAGTCTGTGTCCTGTTAGGAACTGAGCTGCATAGCGGGAGGTGAGCAGCAGCAATTAAGGAGATCATCACGGTGGATGAGAGGCAGGACTAGATTGCAGCTCCTACTCAGACAGAGCGGCATGCGGAGGCTCGCATCGTGAATTTTAGCTCCAGAATGACTGCAAGAACAAACCATGAATCCCCAGAGGACCCACAGACCCTCTGAAGGAAGCAGAGTGATCCTGCACGACCTGGGAGACACCCCAGATACTGTGAGTGCCCAAACTGTGGAAGTAGAAAAGGGAGATCCTCTGCTCCTGAACACACACCCCTACTGGGGAAACGGAAGGTTTGCAGAAGTTTCTGACCTTACCTGGAGCTGAGTCAATTTAGACAGCCAAGCAAAATACAAGGGTAGAAGAAGCAGCAGGAAGGGTCCTGGGAACTCATTGGGTCCCCAAGCAGGCCATTCATGCCTGGCACCACAGGGATCCTTCAGGAGGGTGTCCAGAGGTATGGGGAAAATGCCACAGGGAGAAGGAAGTCTCCAGCTGAACTTTGTAACAATTTGAACCAGGTGAGAAGCCTCCTGGCCAGAACTTGCTGGAGGGCATGAATCCAGCCAGCAGATTCCACAGGTGGGGGAAGAACTAAAGTCCTTTTCTTTCACAGCTGGGAGGCGGGTAGCCTGGGGAAAGTTCTCAAGCCCTGCTTGCCTGCTGCCTGGAAACAGACTCTGTGCTGTTGGAGGTGGCACAGTGGGAGTGAGACCAGCTCTTCAGATTGTGTGGGAGCTGGGTGAAGCCTGTGACTGCCAGCTTTCCCCTACTCCCCTGACAACCTGCATGACTCAGCAAAGGCAGCAATAATCCTCCTAGGTACACAACTCTGTTGACCTGGAAAACTCACCCCCAACTCTGACAGCAGCCACAGCAAGACCCACCAAAGCAGAGCCTGAGCTCAGACACGCCTAGCCCCACCCCCACCTGACGGCCCTTCCCTACCCACCCTGGAAGCTGAACACAAAGGGCATATACTCTTGGGAGTTCTAGGACCCTGCTCAACCCCAGTTCCTCTCCATATTAGCAAAGCTGATGCTCTCTGGAAAGCGCTACCTCCTAGCAGGAGGTCAACTAGCACAAAAATAGAACATTAAACCACCAAAGCTAAGAACCCTTACAGAGTCCATTTCACCCCACTGCCACCTTCACTGGATCAGGTGCTGGTATCCATGGCTGAGAGACCAATAGACAGTTCACATCACAGGACTCTGTGCAGACAACTCCCAGTACCAGCACAGAGCCTGGCAGACTTGCTGGCTGGCCAACCCAGAAGAGAGATAACAATCACTGCAGCTCAGCTCCCAGGAAGCTACATCCATAGGAAAAGTGGGAGAGCACTACATCAAGGGAACACATCATGGAGCAAAAGAATCTGAAAAACAGCCTTCAGCCCTAGACCTTCCCTCTGACAGAGTCAAGCCAAATGTGAAAAAAAAAAAAAAACACACACACACACACAGAAAGCCAACTCTGGTAATATGACAAAACACCCCCAAAAAATCACACTAGCTCACCAGCAATGGATCCAAACCAAGAAGAAATCCCTGATTTACCTGAAAAAGAATTCAGAAGGTTAGTAATTAAGATAATCGGGGAGGCACCAGAGAAAAACAAAGTCCAATGCCAGGAAATTCAAAAAATGATACAAGAAGTAAAGGGAGAAATATTCAAGTAAATAATAGCATAAAGAAAAAACAATCAAAACTTCAGGAAACATTGGACAGACTTATAGAAATGCAAAATGCTCTGGAAAGTCTCAGCAATAGAACTGAACAAGTAGAAGAAAGAAATTCAGAGCTTGAAGACTAGGCCTTCAAATTTACCCAATCTAACACAGACAAAGAAAAAAGAATAAGAAAATCTGAACAAAGCCTCCAAGAAGTCTGGGATTATGTTAAATGACCAAACCTAAGAATAATCGGTGTTCCTGAGGATGAAGAGAAATCTAAAATTTTGGAAAACATATTTGGGGGAATAATCGAGGAAAAGTTCCCCGGCCTTGCTAGAGACCTACACATCCAAATACAAGAAGCACAAAGAACACCTGTGAAATGAATCACAAAGAGATCGTTGTCTAGGCATATTGTCATCAAGTTATTTAAAGTTACAACAAAGGAGAGAATCTGAAGAGCTCTGAGACAAAAGCACAAGGTAACCTACAAAGGAAAGCCTATCAGATTAACAGCAGAATTCTCAGCAGAAACCCTATAAGCTAGAAATGATTGGGGCTCTATTTTTAGCCTCCTCAAACAAAATAATTATCAGCCAAGAATTTTGTGTCCAGTAAAACTAAGCATTATGTATGAAGGAAAGATACAGTCTTTTTCAGAAAAACAAATGGCTAAGAGAATTTGCCACTACCAAGCCACCAAGACAAGAACTGCTAAAAGGAGCTCTATCTAAATCTTGAAACAAATCCTGGGAACACATCAAAACAGAACGTCTTTAAAGCATAAATCACACAGGACCTATAAAACAAAAATACAAGTTAATTAGCAAAAACAACAACAACAACAACAAAAAGAGGTACACAGGTAACAAATAGCACGATAAATGGAATGGTACCTCACATCTCAGTACTGACATTGAATGTAAATGGCTTAAATGCTTCAATTAAAAGATACAGAACTGCAGAATGGATAAGAACTCACCAACCAACTATCTGCTGTCTTCAGGAGACTCACCTAGCACACGAAACCTCACATAAACCTAAAGCAAAGGGGTAAAGGGATTTCACACAAATAGACACCAAAAGTGAGCAGGGTTAGCTATTCTTATGTCAGACAAAGCAAACTTTAAAGCAACAGCAGTTAAAAGAGACAAAGAGGGACATTATATAATGGTAAAAGGCCTTGTCCAACAGGAAGATATCACAATCGTAAATATATACGCACCTAACACTGGATCTCCCAAATTTATAAAATAATTACGAATAGACCTAAAATTGAGATAGACAGCAACAAAGTAATAGTGGCAGACTTCAATATTCCACTGACAGCACTAAACAGGTCATCAAGACAGAAAGTCAACAAAGAAACAATGGGTTTAATCTATACCTTGGAACAAATGGACTTAACAGGTATGTACAGAACATTTTATCCAACAACCACAGAATACACACTTTATTCAACAGTGCATGGAAGTTTCTTCAAGATAGACCATATGATTGGCCACAAAGTTTGCCTCAATAAATTTTAAAAAATTGAAATTATATCAAGCACTCTCACAGAACACAGTGGAATAAAACTGTAAATCAACTCCAAAAGGAATCCTCAAAACCATGCAAATGCATGGAAATTAAATAACCTGCTGCTGAAAGATCATTAGGGAAAAAACAAAAATCAAGATGGAAATTAAAAAATTCTTCGAACTGAATGACAATAATGATGCAATCTATCAAAACCTCTGGGATACAGCAAAGGTGGTGCTAAGAGGAAAGCTCATAGCCCTAAGTACCTAAGTACCTAAACTGACCTTCTAAGGTCACATCTCAAGAAACTAGAGAAACAAGAACAAACCAAACCCAAACCCAGCAGATGAAAGGAAATAACCAAGATCAGAGCAGCACTAAATAAAACTGAAACAAACAAAAATACAAAAGATGAATGAAACAAAAAGCTCATTCTTTGAAAAGATAAATAAAATTGATAGTGCATTAGCAAGATTAACCAAGAAAAGAAGAGAGAAAATCCAAATAACCTCATTAAGAAATGAAACAGGAGATTTACATCTGTCATCACTGAAATACAAAGGATCATTCAAGGCTACTATGAACACCTTTAGACATAAACTAGAAAACCTAAAAGAGATAGATAAATTCCTGGAAGAATACAGCCCTCCTAGCTTAAATCAGGAAGAACTGGATACCCTGAACAGACCAATTACAAGCAGTGAGATTGAAATGGTAATTTAAAAATTACAAACAGAAAAGGCCAGGACCAGACGGATTCACAGCAGAAGTCCACAAGACATTCAAAGAAGAATTGGTAACAAATCTTTTGACACTATTCCACAAGATAAAGAGGAAACCCTCCCTAATTCATTCTACGAAGCCAGCATACCCTAATACCAAAACCATGAAAAGACACAGTCAAAAAAGAAAACTACAGACCAATATCTCTGATGGACATAGACACTAAAATCCTTAACAAAATACTAGCTAACTAAATCCAACAACATATCAAAAGATAACCCACCATGAACAAGTGAGTTTCATACCAGGGATGCAGGGATGGTTTAACATATGCAAGTCAATAAAACACCACATAAACCAGAATTAAAAACAAAAATCACATCATCATCTCAATAGATGCAGAAAAAGCATTTGACAAAATCCAGCATCACTTTACGATAAAACTCTCAGCAAAATCGGCATACAGGGGACATATCTTAATGCAATAAAAGCCATCTATGACAAACCCACAGCGAAAATAACACTGAATGGGGAAAAGTTGAAAGCATTCCTTCTGAGAACCGGAACAAGTCAAGGATGCTCACTCTCACTCCTCTTCAACATAGTACTGGAAGTCCTAGCCAGAGCAATCAGGAAAGAGAAATAAATAAAGGGCATCCAAATTGGTAAAGAGGAAGTCAAACTGTCACTGTTCGCTGACAATATGATCATTTATTTAGAAAACCCTAAAGACTCTTCCAGAAAGCTCCTAGAAGTAACAAAAGAATTCGGCAAAGTTTCTAGACACAAGATTAATGTACACAAATCAGTAGCTCTTCTATACACCAACAGCAACCATGCAGAGAATCAAATCAAGAAGTCAACCCCTTTTACAATAACTGAAAATAAAAAACTTAAGAATACTTAACCAAGGAGGCAAAAGACCTATACAAGGAAAACTAAAAAACCCTCCTAAAACCCTCCTGAAAGAACTCATAGATGACACAAACAAATGGAAACACATCCCATGCTCATGGATAGGTAGAATCAATATCGTGAAAATGACCATACTGCCAAAAGCAATCTACAAATTCAATGCAGTCCCCATCAGAATACCACCATAATTCTTCACAGAATTAGAAAAAACAATTCTAAACTTCATATGGAACCAAAAAAGAGCCCACATACCCAAAGCAAGACTAAGCAAAAAAACAAATCTGGAGGCATCACACTACCTGATTGCAAACTATACTATAAGACCATAGTCACCAAAACAGCATGGTACTGGTATAAATATAGGCACATAGACCAATGGAGCAGAATAGAGAACCCAGAAATGAACCCAAATACTCACAGCCAACTGATCTTCGACAAAGCAAACAAAAACATAAAGTGAGGAAAGGACACCCTTCTCAACAAATGGTGCTAGGATAATTGGCTAGCCACATGTAGGAAAATGAAACTGGATCCTCATCTCTCAGCTTATACAAAAATCGACTCAAGATTGATTAAGGACTTAAATCTAAGACCTGAAACTGTAAAAATTCTAGACAAAAACATTGGAAAAACCATTCTAGACATTGACTTAGGCAAGGATTTCATGATCAAGAACCCAAAAGCAATGATAAATAGCTAGGACTTAAACTAAAGAGCTTTTGCACGGCAAAAGGAACAGTCCACAGAGTAAACAGATGACCCACAGAGTGGGAGAAAATCTTCACAATCTATACATCTGACCAAGGACTAATATCCAGAATCTACAACGAACTCAAACAAATCAGTAAGAATAAAACAAACAATCCCATCAAAAAGTGGGCTAAGGACATGAATAGACAATTCTCAAAAGAAGATATACAAACGGCCAACAAACATATGAAAAAATGCTCAACATCACTAATGATCAGGGAAATGCAAATCAAAACCACAGTGCGATACCACCTCACTCCTGCAAGAATGGTCATAATCAAAAACTCAAAAAACAGTAGATATTGGTATGGATGTGGTGATCAGGGAACACCTCTGGTGGGAATGTCAACTAGTACAGCCACTATGGAAAACAGTGTGGAGATTCCTTAAAGAACTAAAAGTAGAACTACCATTTGATCCAGCAATCCCACTACTGGGTATCTACCCAGAGGAAAAGTCATTATACGAAAAAGATACTTGCACACACGTTTATAGCAGCACAATTTGCAATTGCAAAGTTGTGGAACCAACCCAAATGCCCATGAATCAATGAGTGAATAAAGAAACTGTAGTATACATATATATATAGTATATTATATATAGTATATACTATAGTAGGTATATATATGGTAGGTATATATATAAATATATATATGGTGTATATATATATAGTAGGTATATATATGGTAGGTGTGTGTGTATGTATGTATATATATATATATATATATATATATATATATATATATATATATATATATATAATGGATTACTACTCAGCCATAAAAAGGAATTAACAGTGACCTGGATGAGATTGGAGACTATTATTCTAAGTGAAGTAACTCAGGAATGGAAAACCAAACATCGTATGTTCTCCCTGATATGTGGGAGCTAAGCTATGAGGATGCAAAGGCATAAGAATGATACAATAGACTTTGGGGACTTGGGGGAAAGGTTGAAAGGGGAATGACGGATGAAATACTACAAATAGGGTGCAGTGTATACTGCTTAGGTGATGGGTGCACCAAAATCTGACAAATCACCACTAAAGAACTTACTTATGTAACCAAACACCAATAACCTATAGAAAAATAAAGAATAAAAAGAAATTAACAAAAAAATAAAAAAATAAAGCCACCAGGCAGTTAAGGCAGTTACCAGGTATTATTTAATTCCTACCATATGTTGCAGTCAAAACCCTCTTTTGCATCATTTTGATATAAGGAAGTATAAAATATGCATACATTACTAATGTAAAACTAACATTTGGTTTTTGGTAAGTGCTTATCAATTCAGAATAGTACTAGGAACACTTTTCCTTTAAAATTGATTGTGTTTGATCAGAGCAGAGCAGTCCACTGATTAAAAATCTTAAGTTCCCCAAGGTTAAGGAAAAAAATCACGATTTACTTACCATACCCACCACAAATCCAAAGTTGCAAATATTATAGGTGGCTTTATTAAATGAGTGGTAATAATGAGATTAGCTAACCATAACTCAGAAATTTTGAGACCCCAGAGTGCTGATTTAGCACATACAGCTTTCCTGTTATGTTTTAAGAATCATCATATTTTCAAACTGAATAATTTGATTTCTTGCAGGAAATATACCAGGATTGCATCGCAGAATAACCAATGATGTTAAGAATTGGCGCAATCCTTTACAATTTCAAACTTCTAACCTTAGTTTCCCAAAGGACATTGCTTATAAGAAAAAAAGGGAAAGCAAGAAATAACCCAGTACCCTGACTTTGAGATTCTTGAAATTCACAAGAGCTGCAGAAAATTCTAATCAAAGGCAGTTGATATGAAGAATAGAGCCCAGGAGCAAGGAAATTACTCAAGACCAAGTACCCCTACATAGCCAGACCTTAAGTTGCTTGAGAAGCATAAGGCCACCCTCTTGTACCACAATTCACTCTGCCCTGACCCCATTACCAGGGTGTAAGCAGAAAACATTACAAGGTATGTTCCAGTTAAATGCCACTAGTCACGATAAGAGGCTGAAGTAGGGGGATCGCTTGAGACCAGGAGTTTGAGGCTACAGTGAGCTGTGATCGCCACGATGTGCCACTGCACTCCAGCCTGGGTGACAGTGACACTATCACAAAAAAAGAAAAGAAAAGAAAGATCTACTAGACAAAGAATGTCGCAAATCTTGTTGTGTGTGTGTGTGTGTGTGTGTGTGTGTGTGTAATTCCTATGTCCATATAGCATTTTAACAAAGCATCTTAAAATAAGACCAAGTATTAACATTCAAAAGCATAAATATACACACTTATGTATGTTAAGAAAAATGGGTTTAATTCAATAAAATATATGTTTACAAAATAATTAGAAGTTTGGGAAGAGCACATTCTAAGCTGGGTCTCCAGGAACAAGCCCCAAACACTGCACAACTGAACCACTAGGAGGACTGCAGATTTTGCCAAAATTGGAAGATAAAAAGCAAGAGGCCATCACCGGTATTGTCAAGCCAAGAACATTTTGCTATAGCTGTGGCCTGGAAATGCGAAAGCTGCCACTGCTTCTGCTGCCACCTTTACTAACTAGAGATGAATGCTGGAACACTATTGAAGGAAAACCCCATAGCTTTGCAACCTATTTTCTAGAAGAAAAAAACAAAAGCTGCAGGAATATGACTTCCATATTAGCCCCACTTTCTGAAGCTTGAATAAATACTTCTAAATGATAGGACGCAATTTGCTTCCAAACCTTAGCATTGAGGAACCCTGGGAAGTATGGATTTTTTTTTTGGCTCCCCAGTCTCTGTAGAATAAGAAGGTCAGACCAAAGAAGCTGGAAATGGATGCTAAGGCCAAACAAATTTACTACATTCATCATAGGCAGGAGTTGGTATTTCCATTTCACAGATAGAGACACTGAGGTTCAGAAAAATCTAAGTGACTTGTGCAAGACACAGTGTCAAATAAATTGAATTACCAGGAATAGAATCTAGGAGTTTTTATGCCAAGTCTGGCATATTTCTCAGTTTACCATTCTGTATTAACTGATTATAAAATATTATAAAACTGGAAAAGGAAATAAATGATCACATCTACCAAGGAGAGCTAACATTTCCTAACATTTATTTGCTCATCTATTAGGCTATTATTATGTTTCAGAGAAAAGGTCAACTTAGGAAGGATCTCTAGATAGGTAGCAATCCTTCTCAATGGTTGTTAAGCAGATAGGGAGTAGAAATAAAGCAAGTGTGCAAACTGTGAGCTTTTTTCTTCCTTCAAAAATTCAAAATGCGCTCAGAGCCTACAGACAGAAAAAGGCAGCTGAAAAGGCAAATTTAATGTTCTTCATTTTTATCCCCACCCCATCCCCCAGAAAAAATTAACATTATTTGCAAAGATTTATAAAATGTCAAAGAATAAAAGCAAAACTTATTTATGTTATCTGAATTAAACTCAGAATTGCTATTTCAGCCGAATGTAATATATAAAGTAATTTAAATAAATACTGATGAAATTATCTCTTAAAGAGATACTGGCCTTAAAGATGTAACTGTACAGCTACCTAATATAATTTGGCTTGCTTCTCAGCTTTCTAATATATCTCCTTTTTATAATTGGTTCTTTTTATTAAAAATGAATTGTTATCCATGTCTTCAGATGTGGATCTTAATTTAATCAAATGTGAAGTTTTAGGTTAATTTTGAGCATATTCAAACTCATCCCCAATTCAGTAAGAGACATGCAGAAAATGGTTTTGCTGTTGATTTTTAAATCTCCAAGGCAGCATTCAGTGCTCATTTTTGTGACTACCACTTTAAGGGGAAGCATTTTGGAAAAGGCCTCCTGAGAGCATTTATAATAAATCTTTCCTGACTTTCTTTAAAGCAGGAAAGAAAAATCCATTTAAGACAATGCTTTAAGGCAAAATGTTACCTGACTTCAGATTCAAACTTTTCATTTATTAGGGAAGAAGTTAAAGTCTCCAGGGGGTGCTGAATCAGTCTATTCTGAGAAGTAGAAATGGAGAAGCTACTTTAGGTAAATGGTGTCTAACTCTGGCAACAGAGACAAGTCTCTGCCCTACCAACATTCCCTATCCTGGAAGTACCACAACTCTACTCCACAGGGAAAGCATATTGATTCCTTAATTGAGAAATAAGAAGACAATGAAGAAGAATTTCAGCAGCTTCTATTTATTGAGTCTCCCTAAATGCCAGCCATGTTGGATGTTTTATATATATTATCCCCCTTAATCCTAAAAACATAACTATAAGTGTTAATCATCCCCTGTTACAGAAAAGAAAGCCAAAGCTTACAGGAGCTAAAAATGTGCCCAATGTCACACAGCTAGTAAGTGAAGAAAGCAAGATCAACTAACTTCAAAGTTTGCAACTTCGTTCAACTAGCTTCGAAGTTTGCATGCCCTCCCCCTCAGCATAGCAATGTGAAATCCAGTAACTCAAGTAAAGGCCATTTTCTATTTAAAAGAGCTTCTCAAATAGAGATAGTCTGAGGCAAGCAATGTAGATTGACACAATGACCAAAAACCTACACTGTGTAAAACTGCAACACCACAGAGAATGCTTTGCAATCATATCTAGATGTCTATAGCAATCAATGTAAAGGTTATTCAAGTTCAGCAAACTTGCCTCTAGCAAAATACAGCTAAATTTGTTCTACTTATGGGAAATAGAAAGTAAAATTTCCTGTTTCCTCATTTTGCAGGTCTACGCCCAGTTTGAATTTTCACATTCACAGAGTTAAGGAATACATCATAGAAAGGAATGCACACCTGTGACTAAACAAGTTACAGTTTACAATCAACATCCCGTCCACACATCTATGTATTACAAGGTTTTCTTCTGTGCATTATTGATTTTCTGTGTATTACCAAAAAGATTGTATTACTGATACCCGAGTGTCAGTAGTCATTCTCATGCCCAAGTTATATTTTCCCTGTAGTCTCTATCATACCATTTAATATGTGTCTTAAACACATTACACCTTTTATAATTTGGGGCATAGAGATCAATCTATTTCGCTCTGTTTTGGAGGCAGGTATTTCTTCACCAGTAACGCTTTTTTCGTTTATTTAATTGCACACTTTTCCTTTCTACTAATCCACCAAACGTCTGCAACTTATTGTTACTCAGACATTCAAAGTCAGATGTGATATCTGAAGCATTGTAACTGAATTGTGTGGGAAGAAATATTTAGGGCTGTGATTCTTCTTCATAAAGATCTTCAAAAAACATTCAGCTTTTCTGCTGCCACATCATATTATAAATTAATTTTGCTTCCAAGTAATGCTCACCTTAATTTTCTTTTACTTCACCTTCTAACAGGATCTCTTGGCTTGAACTCAGGTGCACTAGCAACGATCTCTCTGGAGGCTTTCATATGCTACAACCATATATAATCACCTTCACCGTCAGAATACTTAAAGACACCCAAGCGGTTTCTAGTCATATATCCCGATTTGCCTGGGGACCATGAGGCCCACAGGAAAGAATTTCTGGCATACCAAGGTAGGATATGGCATGGAAAGGGATTTCTTATTGAGATACAATGAGCCTGAAAGAATACATTCTCCACAAGGAGCAATACTAAAAGGATTCCCGAATGCAATAGGACTCTCTCCTTGAATTCACCACTACTGCATAGACAGCTCCTACCATCACTACAACATGCAAATTATTCTCTTTGCCACCCTCCACTCTCCACTGACCCAGATCCATTCTCTCTGTGTTCTGTGTATGCCTGAAAGGCTGAACCCTACAGAGTGCATGGCATGGGCTAATGAAAAGCCTAACAAGGAATCAGAAGGAAGGAAGAGAGAGGTCAGGCCAGTTATTGGCTTGCTCATGCCTGCTTTAATGCTAGGATTCTTACATTGGATGTGACTCTCTCTGATTTCAGCTCCTGCCAGGCAGCGCCTCCTCCAAGGCTTTGGCTCACAGGGCTTTGGTGAACTGTTCCCCACCCCTTCAGGTTTAGGAATGGTAACACCTTGATGTTGCCAGTCAGGGGGTCCCTCTGCTTCTCTTGTTTGTTTTCTAATCCAAATGCCACATATCTCTAGCTAGTACACTCATTAAATTCTCCTCAGAATTCCATTAGTGTGCCTTCTGTCTCCTGCTGGGCCCCTGGCAATGCGCGAATTGGTACCAGGAGTAGCCTCAAGAAACAGCCCCTCACGTTAAAATTCTAGTGTGGATTCCACACATATTATTTTATAATATACAGACGATTTCCTTGCTGGGGTTTGGGGAGAGGGCGTATAGAGTAATCAGTGGAGAGCAATGCTTTGGAAGATTATGTGTGTGCCATTTGATCACTATAGTAATAAAGATTACAGGCTGCTTCTCACTCTGTTAAAGAGCTTACAAAAATAAAAATATCAGCTTAGTGCCTTTAATACTCAACTCAAAGCATGAGGGAGAACTAATCAGCTTTAAATGTATCCCTTGTCTTGTATATCTGCAGAACAAACATAATTGATGATCAGGACCAAGATGTGATGGTATGAGCAGAGTTTCAATGTTGGTAAATATATCAATTCAGTGGGCTTCAAAAGTTCATGAAAAAATTAGGGTTACTAGCCCATGTCAAGTCTCAGGGTCCTAGTACATTGTAAACAGGGACCCAGTTGTAACCTTAGAAACTTGTTATAATGAGCCACTAGTTGGAAAAAGAGGACCCCAGAGACTTGAGATGGGGTCCTTAACTTAAATTCTTAGAGGCCCGTGAATCTTTTTTGGGAGTTGAAGCAATCCTCCAACCTGTCTGCAAAAACTACTTTCAGTGACTTCATCAGCAGCACTTACCTTGCAAGGAGATTCTCATTCTCAAGGTTAACCCCAATCATCACTCATTGCTTACATAGCAAGAAGGAGAAGTGCAAGGTATCCTCAAGGATGCGATACATTCTAAACCAGAGATGTGTTAGGACATTGACAACTGGAAAAGTGTGTTTAGAAATTTATTCTGAAGGGGTTAAATCAAGGAGAGAAAAATATGAGATTAGTTCAGGAAGAATTTATTAATATGAGAAAACTCACCTGAAATTCTAGATATAATTTGTCAGTGGAAGAATCTGGGATGGGCTCTAACACTTTGGTGAAACCTGTGCTCAGTGGTGACCTACAATAATGAGGTTGAGATGCTGGGACTACTCTGGCACAAAGAGGAACATCCAAAGGCATAGGGAGGTGAACATTCTGGAGTGAATCCATTCTATGTAACTTATTCCAACACACCATCACTATAGCTACAAAAAGGTTGAAGAATACTTCCTTCTCCAAAGCAATAAGAATACTTTGGTATTAAGCAATCACATCTCCTAAGAGTTCTGTGATGACTACTTTCTGTAGACCAGAGATGCTGCGAAAATTTGGGCTCTCTAATCTTAATGAGAATTATGGGGTCTTGAAGTGTTAGAGGCCAGGTGGCAGTGCTCAGTTTTGGGCATGAGACTGGAACAATTACCCCCAACAAACCACAAGGACAGAATGGTAATACAAGTGTTTTGACCCACATGGATTTTTTTATTGTGGCTAACATTTTTAGGAGGACCTTACAAATGAAACAGATTGTCAGCCTTCTAAAATACTACTTGGTCTATGTTATCAGACCATTTCTTCTTCTAGTAGGCAATACATCAAATCAAAGTGCTATAGTAGGAGTTCATGACCTCATACCCCGTTCATAAACCCAGAGCCTTCTGAGATGGAGGCTAGCTTCTGTTAAGGAATCACCCTGAAATGTAGACACAAGGATACACTGTAATTCTTCCTCCGAGCCTTCCCCGAGAGAACCCATGGCCATTTAACAAGGTGAGAGTGAACTAGGAAAGAAAAGTAATGATACTACCTAGGAGCCATTAGTTATTGCCCCAATTTAGCACTAATTAGTATGGGCACAAAGTCATAAAATAAATGAATGGAGTCTTGGCCTATATCTGTCTTAGAGTGGTTGATGGGCTACCTCCCTTCCTAGTCATTATTTTCTGTGTTCATGGCTGACTACCTGAAATAATCATACTTAGCAACTAGAAACATCCTCACATCGGTTTCCTGACTGATGCCATTGATGTCATTATGTTGAGAAGAGCCCACTGGAGCCCCTGGAATTTTCCCTGTCAAATAATAAACAGAAAGCAATATCATATCCCTGGGGGAAAAATTGCAGAAACTAGTGCTACTATCAAGGATTGAAAGAAACAGGAATGGTGATTTGATTTCTATCCCATCCTCATTTAGCTCTTTAGTTTGGCTGATACAAAAGCCAAATGGATACTTTAGAATGACCCTGAAATATCGGTACCACCAACACGGCTGCTGGCTGCTGAGATGAGTTATTGACCTAGAAAATGATTTCATTTTATTTTGTTTTGTTCCCTATCTGAATTAGGGACAAATAAGAAGTAATTCATCTTTATCTAAATAGTAGGAACAAAAGTATACCTTCAGTGTCTTATCTCATGACTATATCAACTCTCCTGATCTCTATCATAATATAGTCCAGAGAAATCTTGATTACATTGAAATCTCAGAAAACATCTCATCCATTACAGTGAAGACATTATATTAATTAGACCTGATAAGCAGGAGGTTGCAAACACCTAGATGCCTTAGTAAGACACTTGTGATTTAGTGTGTAGAAAATAAAACCCACAGAGCTTTGGAATTCTGCCCAAATACCATGAAGATTTGGGATTCTGCCAAATTCAAAGATTCTGGGAATCCTTTGTTATAGATCATGTGGGATATCCCCTCTGAAATGCAGTTAACTGCACCTTGAACTTCCTACCATAAAGAATGAGGCACCTCATTTAACATGTCTTTTGACTTTAGAGGAAGCATATGCTACATTTGGGAACACTGCTGTTATCCATTTCCTGAGTAATCCACAAGGATACCAGTTTTGAATGTTGCCCAGAGCAAAAGAGGGATAGCAATAGGTCCAGGTTGTGGTAAAAGCTGTCCCATCAATTAGACATCATAAGCTAGCATATCTAAATGGTATTTGAATTCTGTCACAAATAGAGGCACCCTTTGGAGCCCCCAATATGCCTCTATAGGAAAAACATAATGTAGACCCTAATATTTTGGAGTAAATTCAAACTCTGTTCTGCAAACAACTATTTCCACTTTAAAGCTGTTCCTAATTTGCTACTGGATCTTGGTACAACCAAATAATAACCCCTGAGCACAGCAACCAGGAGACTATATGACCTGAGCTGCTCATCATGAATTGGATATCATCTGATCAAAAGAAAACCTAAAAGTAGATGTGTGCAGCAGCATCAAATTATTAAATAGGAATGGAATATACCTAACAGGGACAAAGGGTATCCAGAAAACTCAAATAACTCCTCTGAACAGAATCAGACTTCAAAGTATCTACTCCTACTGCTGTGTAGGCAGTTCCTCAAACCATGGCTACGAAGTTACCTATGACTATTAGCAAGGAGGAAAAATTGCCTGTTTGACAGATGTTAACTCCATCCAGAAATGAACAGCTGCTACACTCTAGACCCACTTGTAGCAGTCTGAAATTTAGTCTGAAATGGAAATATTCCCAGTGGACAGAATTTCAGGCAGTATATTTGTTTTTCCACTTCCTGTGGAGGGATAGATGGTCTACTATATGGATCCACAATGACTCCAGGGAAAAGCTAATGGGATGTCCATTTCATTAGTGACTTGGAAAAGCAAGAATTGGTGGCAAGGTGTTCTGGGGACAAGACATGTGGACAGATTTCTCCAAATGGTTATGGAATTGCATTAGTCTGTTTTCACACTTCTATAAAGAAATACCCAAGACTGGGTAATTTATAAAGGAAAGAGATTTAATTGACTCACAGTTCAGCATGGCTGGGGAAGCCTCAGGAAACTTACAATCATGGCTGAAGGGGAAGTAGGCACATCTTACATGGCAGCCAGAGAGAGATCGTGGGAAGGAGGAACTGTCAAACACTTATAAAACCATCAGATCTTGTGAGAACTCACTCACTATTACAAGAACAGCATAGGGTAAATTGCCCTCATCCAATCACCTCCCACCAGGTTCCTCCCTCAACATGTGGGGATTATAGGGAATACAATTCGAGAGGAGATTTGGGTGAGGACACACAGCCAAACCGTATCAGGAATATTAGAATATTCATATCATATATAAAAGCCTACCAGAGGGCATCTACTGCAGAACAGTCTCTTAATATTGATAGAGGTGATCCTTAGTGTAGATGCCATTCAGCCTCCTTGCTCAGCAAATGCTGTGCTCATTCTAAGTGGCTGTGGTAGTAAACCTGCAGGTTATACATCAGTGTCTTAGTTCATTTAGGCTGCTATAACAAAATATCATAAAGCAAGTGGTTTATAAACAACAGAAATTTATTTCTTACAGTTCTGGAGGCTGAGTAGTTTAAGATTAATTGGCCAGCAGATTTGGTGTCTGGTGAGAGCCTCTTTCCTGATGGTGGTGCCTTCTTGTGTGTCCTCACATGTTGAAGAGAAAACAAGCTCCCTCAAGCCTCTTTTATAAGGGAACTAATCTCATTTGTGAGAGTTCCACCCTCCTGACCTCATCATCTCCCAAAGGCCTACCCCTTAATACTTTCACATTGGGGATTAGGTTTCAAGATATGCATTTGGAAGTAACACAAACATTTAAATAATAGCAACATAGATTTTTCTCTCCCCAATGCTGCTTTGGCTATCACAATTGCTAGGTGCTAAGTCTGTCAATTATGGAGGCCAATGATGAGTCTGCTATGGAACCATTCCCCAAAGGTACCAGCCAGCTCCCTGCTGGATCCCTTCTATCTGGGAATAGAGATTTTGTCCTCAGGAATCCTAGATATGGATTGGCCTCCCAGTCCACAATGTTTCTTCTAACATTCATTCTGTCATGGTTTGAATTATGTCTCTCAAAACATATGTTAAAGTCCTAATCCTCAATATCTCAGAGTGTGACCTTATTTGGAAATACAGTCATTGCAGATATAATTAGTTAAAGTCATACTGGAGTAAGGTGGGCCCTTAATTCAATTTGACTGGTGTCCTTATAAGAAGATGGTATGAAGACATGGGGGGTGAGTGTCAAGTGACATCAGAGGCAGAGATTTTAGTTCTGTAGCTGCAAATCAAGAACTCCAAAGATTGCCACTGAAATCAGAAGCTAGAAGTATGGAAGAGATTCTCTCCTAAACCCTTGAGAGATCATGGTCTTACCAACACTTGAACTTCAGACTACTAGCCTCCAGAACTGTGTGAGAATAAATTTCTGTTCTTTTAAACCATCCCATTTATAGTACTTTGTTACAGTGTCTCTGGGAAACTAATACATGTCCTTATTAAGGGACTAAATGAATGCTTTATCTACTGACATATTATACCACAAAATATCACCCTCAACCAAGAAAGTCGCTTTGTAATGAAACAAATGCAGCAATAGTCATGCTCATGGAATTCATTAGTCTTATCACATGTCCCATCATTTGGAAGCAGATGGCCTATTGAAGGCTCAGCTCTGGCACAAGCTGAGGAGGAGGGGTTTGGGGTATTTAAACAAGTGACCAATATATAATAATGTCCCCCCACTTCAACCATAACCAGGTCCAGGAACCAAAGAGTGGAAGTGGGAGTGTCCCCTCAATTTTAAGCCTAAAATCTCTATGCTGTAGAATTTGCGTCTTGTTCCTTTACCCTTGGGTTTCAAAAATTTGGAATTATGAGTTCCTAAGAAAATAATACTTCTAACTGAGAACAAAGTCACAATTCCATTACTTTGGAAGCTAAATCTACCTCCTACTAATTTGGAGCTCTTATGCCACTGAATTGACGGGCAGAAAGGTGGCTATTAGTACTATTGGGGTGACCTATTCCTATAGCCAAGGGTGCTTGTGTTGCTGCTACAGGTTAGGGACAAGGAGGTTATATGGGGAATCCACTGGATTCACTGGCGTGCCTCTTATTACATCCATAATTATGTTTGATGGGAGTCTACACGACCTCAATTAAAAGCCAGAAAGAGTTCAAATTCTATGGGAATAAAGGTTACAGTCACCACATGAGGTAAAAAGTATAACTTGCCAAAGTTCTAGCAGAGGTAAGAGAGTGCAGAATAGGTTGTGTGGAAAGGAGATTTCATAGAACAAGGAGTCATCAGCACCACTGGAAGAATATCTTTATCAGAGGGTCAGGAATTTCAGGAGAGCACCTGAGATCTAAAGACAACTACAGCATGGAGGCTAAGAGCCACTGAGTGATGAGAAGAATGTTTGGGTACAGAAGTTGAAGCAAATATAAATTCCTTTCTTGGGGAATATGAGAGCATATAAGAGGAAAACTGAGCTACTACCTGTGGGCATGTGGAAGATTCTGATCAGATTTAGGAACTATGATGGTTAGTTTTGTGTGTCGACTTGGCTAGGCTATAGCGTCCAGTTATTCAAACAAATAGTGATCTAGATGTTGCTATGGAGGTCTATTGTAGATCTGGTTAACATCTACAATCTATTGACTTTAGGTAAAGGAGAGTATCCTCCATAATGTGAGTAGGCCTCATTCAATCACTGGAAAGGCTTTAAGAACAAAACTAAGATGTTTCTAAAGAAGAAGAAATTCTGATTCAAGACTGCAGCATGAATTCTTGCCCCAGAGTTTCCAGCCTGAGGGCCTGCCCTCAGATTTGCCAACCCACAATCACATAGCCAATTCCTTGAAATATATACAGTTGATCTTTGAACAATGTGAGAATTAGAGGTAGCAACCCCTCTGTGCAGTCAAAACTCTGCATAAAACTTTTGACTCCCCAAACACCTAACCTGACCAGAAGCCTTATCGATACTCTTGACTAGAAGTCTTATTGAGAACATAAACAATTGATTAACACATATTTTGTAGGTTATATGTATTAAATCTGTATTCTTAAAGTATTAATCTTAAAGTGTTAATCTGTATTCTTAAACTAGAGAAAAGAAAATCAGAAAGAGAAAATATGTTTACTATTCATTAAGCGGAAGTAGATCATCAATCATAAAGATCTTCATCTTCATTATCTTCACATTGAATAGGCTAAGGAGGAGGAAGAGGAGAGGTTGGTTTTGTTGAGGGGTGGCAGAGGCAAAAGAAAATCTACATTATAAGTGAACCCATACAGTTCAAACCTGTGTTGCTCAAGGGTCAACTCTGTGTGTGTGTGCGTGTGTGTGTGTGTGTGTGTGTACCGGGACAAACTGTTAAGGTAAATTTATCTAGGATCCACAGGGAAGTGGGTCTATTTTTGAGTCTCCTCAAACTTTTTTTCAGAGCTTGTAGATATTTTTCCCCAGAAGTTAATTTACACCTTAAGTGAAAAATTATATGGGGGCTTGGGGAGGATTTAAAAGTAAGTATTGCCTCTTTCTAAATTATGTATGATGATTTCGCATTCTGCTTTTGCTATTTGTATCCATTTTCTGTTTAGTCCAGTGATGTACTCAGCTGTAAAGGCAAAAATGATGTTTTTGGTTTAACAACGTGAGTTGTATTACATGAGGCTAAGATGGATTATTTGCATCCAGTGTTCCTATGAATCTTAGTGCAGCATCCACAGGAGTTCTGGCCAGCAGCCGTGGGCAGTGAGAAACCATAGAGAAATGACGTAGTTCCCTATCTTCACACCACAAGCTTGGCCTCACCGATACAGCGTTCGAACTAAAATTGACCAACTACCTCTTGCTTTTTGGAGAAGAGATTGAAATCTACTGAGAAAAAAAATGCAGACAGAAAATTTATAACTGCTCAAAATAAAACTCATCTAAATTTATTTGACCCTTAAAAAAGCCTACCATAAGATAAGAAAACATTAAGTATACATGGATAAATCTGGGAATATTACCAAAAATTGAAAAAGTATAGTGAATTAAAAATAATAAACTTTCATTTAGAAAAACAACTTCTTAATTCAATGTTTCTCAAATTCGAATAATGTATGGAACTTCTTTGAGGGAAAATATTAGAAAAACAAATATTAAATTCTTTTACTAATATTACTTATATATGTACTGACATAAAAATGGGTATAAAGTCCTTCTATATATAGCTCTTATACAGTGAAAGTACCTAAGCAATTTTTTAAGTTAAATTATAGCAAAATGACAAAACCAATGAAATTATATTTTAAAATATTAAATTAGTGTGACAATGTAAGTAATTATTTGTTTAATTTGCTTATTTGCTTAGGTTTAAAGCAAATTAGTAAGGTTAGTTTAATGAAAAACACACCAACATAGATGCTTTGGAACCTGATGGACCACCATTTGGGTCTTTGTCATTGTTAATGTTACTTATTTTTAGACAATTCTCTTTACACACTGGTGAATTATTTTGATTAACCAATACATTTAATAAAGCACTACAAGTTACTTTTATTTTTTATTTATTTATTTATTTTGGAGACAGGGTATCACTCTGTTGCCCAAGCTGGAGTGCAGTGACACTATCTTGGCTCACTGCAACCTCTGCCTCCCGGGTCCAAGTGATTCTTATGCCTCAGCCTCCCAAGTAGCTGAGATTACAGGTATGCACTACCACTCCCAGCTAATTTTTGTGTTTTTTGTAGAGACGTGTTTCACCATTTTGGCCAGGCTGATCTCGAACTCCTGACCCCAACTGATCCACCTGCCTCGGCCTCCCAAAGTGCTGGGATTACAGGCGTGAGCGCCCAGCCAACAAGTTACAAAAATTGATGACAATGTTTCAATATCATTTAACAAAAAAGTCTTCATTGCTGATTTAATATGATACTGACTGCCAACTTTGACAACTTGTTAACTGCAGAAACAGAACCTATGAAACCATAATTGACAGTAGGAACATGGAACAGTTATGATGCAAGCTATTCTGAGTTAGACATGCATAGATTAGGGGTAGGCTTTATCTTATGGTAGAATCATTTGGATACAAGGAATAGAACCAATTCAACCTGGCTTCAGCACAAGGAAGGGGCTCTACCTCTGTTGTCTTAGTAGGGGAAGGGATTTTGGAATCAAGAACTGCGAAGTTGTTAGGATTTGAGGCAACTATTCTATCTCTCTTTCTCCTCTCTCTCTCTCCATCTCTCCTCTCTCTCTCCTTCTCCCTAAGTCTGTCTCTATATGTCTCTCCCATTTCTGTGTGTATCTGTCTCTCTTTGCCTCTCTTGCTCTTTGCCTATTCTTGTCTCTACCTATCACACCACAAGGTCTTATCTCTGCTTCTAGCTTTGTATCTCTATTGTTTTCCTTCCATGTTGTCCAAATTTATCTATCCATTTACACATGAGTCAATGGCTCGCTTCCAGTTCTGGCTTAACATCCTTTATAAATTCAAATACTGACAAGGGAGAATCCCTGCGTCCCAATTTCAAATTTTAGGAGAGGGAATCTGGTTGGCCAAATGTAGATGGCTGATCTCAAGCTGTGGCTAGTTTTCAGTGAGTGTCACATGGGTAGCTGCACACTTAGCAGTGGCTGTTCAGTCTCTATGAGAAGGACATAGAAGTTACAGAAAACATATCTATTTATGTGTGTAATAAGGGCCCAAAACCTCAGCTTTTCCTAAAAACTATTAATTAGGGTACTTGAAATATCCCATTGATTTTGACTTTAAAGAGAGTGTCCAAAAACTGAGCCAGGAAATTATAGTACAGAACAAAAACAAAAGACATTTAAACACATGAAAAGAGCCCCTGACATCTCCTAGAGAGAGGCAAGTGGTCTAAACCTCAAGGACTATTGTACCATTCCACCAAGAGAACACTCCTGAAGATACTCCCTTGAGGCATTTAAAAGTAGGACTGGAAAATAAGACTTTGGATGTAAGCCTAGCCAAAGAATAATGTGATTATTCCCAACACTTTTTATGAAAAAGGAGCATGAGTAGGAAGAATATTAATTCCTTAAAAATTAAACGTGATATTATAAAATTCTTTTAAGATCATTGTCTTCTGTAGTACTGTTATTTACACACAGAAGTACTACAATTGTTTCAATCATAAAAAAATTTTAAAGTGAAGTTATGTCCTCCTTAAAAGGTAATGTTTATTAGACATAGGCAAAATCGGTGTAGAGTTTATGCACACAGCTTATATACTAAAGAGAAAAAATGGGATTAAAATGTGTAAGAAAAACATAAGCTTGAAGCTAAGCTTTAACAAGGACATTGAAAACCTGGGGATAATGAGTGGGGCTGTACAAATGAGGTACATCCTGCTGGAAAAGCTGGACTGAGTCTCTCTAAAAATAAGGAGAGTCTGGGAGAAAATGTTAAATAAATATATGCAAAGAGTGGGAGTGGGAGAAGGAAGAAAAGTTGAAATGGGGGCACAGAGAGAGGTCAGGGCTTTCATTTAGTGTTGACTAAGATGCTTGAGGCTTTCATTTAGCGTTGACTAAGATGCTTGAGGAGTTGAGGGTTGCGTGGCACAGTAACTGGAGTTTCTGAAGAAGTTTCAAGAGACGAGAGATTGCGATTAAGGCAGCAAATCTGGTGAATTAGTTTGACAACAATATATAGCATAAATTGAATGATGGAGTGGACAGGGATTATAACTTTGCCCTGTTATAATCAGCGTCTTGTTCATCAGCATTAAAACCCATCTATAGGGCCCAAGACCTACAAATCCGCACAGTGTCCACTCCTTCAGCATCACCCAACCTACCAAAGCAGACCTCATATATCACCATGACCTTTACACTCGAAACTCCCCTCTCATGAACTCTGACTGATTCCGGGTTCTCTCTGACTGATTCCTGGTTCTCGCAAGAGGCCAGATCTCGGCTAAACAGTCGATGAGAGGCATTCACTGCACCTCATGTCCCATGCCCTAAATAAAACTCTCCTCTGCTGCCAATGTGAGACAAACCCCAATGAGTCTCAAATTCACACAGGGATAAAAGTGTCAAAATGATTACTTGGAGGTCAGAAAGAAGAGAGATGGTGGGGGATACTAGGCACTGCAAGGAGGAGATAATGGGAAAACAGCACCTTGAGGTGTTGAAGTCGGGGAATGAGAATCATCATGGGAAAAAGCAGTAGGGAGAATAAGATGTACACATGAGGGACACTTGAGAAAATAAAAAGAAATGGATCGAAGAGTCAGAGGAGAACAAAAATCCATCAAAGAAAGACAGAAAAGCAGATACAAAGAAAGCAACAGAAAAACAAAGCAAGTAAGCTGAGGAAAAGAACAAGAAGAGAATATGGACCATGCTTGCTTTTGGCCTTCTCAATAGTAACTTGCATCACTACTGAAAATCCATTTCCAACTGGCTCATCAGCAAAACATTAATAAAAATTAAAAGAGAATGAGAAGGGTAGAAACTTCTGCAAAGAAACCTAAGACAAGATTTTCAATGATTTTGGATTTATACTTCCTCTTTGCTAATCAATAAAAAGTCATCAAAATATTTGTTATATTAAAATTATACAATCATATAATTTGCTTACATTTGGAAACGACCTACATTCTGAGATACGTGGCTTTATGTCAGTTAATCAGCTATCCTATGCATGTGACCAATAATTAGCCTACTACCCCTAAAGCTTCATAACAATGTAACATAAATGATTTATCAATTTTCTAAATGCAGCAAATCACAAGGATATTAAAGGAATTAATAATCTCACAGTGATATAAACCCAAGAGTCTTCCTCTACCTTCTCATTAATATAAACACAATGGCTGACTGCAGAGTGCTCCATAGGAGCTATGAGAAAAAAACTTGAAGTCTGCGATCTTGTTTTCTCTGAAAAAAGAAAGTGCGAATAAAGGAGAATGATAAAAGTTTCTCAAGAACCATATGCATTCTTGGTTATGTCATTTATCTCTTACCTGGAGTTAAGTGCTGTCTCAGGCGGATTATATTCCTGGGTTATGCTCTCACTTGTGTGAGTGTCTCACAGGTAATATCTGATGAGTACTTCTTGTACTTTTCAAGATTTATCTATAAGAAACGTAATGCTGAGAGCACTTTATATCCCTATCATTGTCACTGATAGTACCACATGGATACTGAATAATCATTAAAAAGCTTAGAGTTACGTTTGCTTGAAGAGCCCAGATGAAAGACTTCGTCCACAAAACTGTTGACAGCTTTCACAAGGTTATTTCTTATTCTCTTTTTATTTTATTTATTTTGTTTGACTGCTTATCATAAGAGTTGGAAACTTCTAGAAGAGTCCTGTGGGGATGGGAAGATTAATGTTCCCATTTTTGTTCAGATTTTTGTTCCCATCTTTTAGAAAATTCATCCAGGTAAGAATTTGATTGATTTGAGGTGCAATAGTCCATCATCTCCTCAAAGATACTGTGATACTCAGGGCAGCCAGGTAGGCAGAGGGTTAGAGAGGCATCCAGGCAGCAAGAGGACACACACTATTGCTCCTGAGTGACTTTTATGTGATAGATCCCATTTGTTCTTCTCAATTGTGTTCATCAGAAACATCAGAATGAAGATTTTGTTTTATTTTTGGTTATGTTGGTATGGAATACTCCATATTGATATGAAATGCTCATTGTAGAAAAATTGAAACATAGAGATGAGCAAATACAATAAAATAAAAACAAGCCATAAACTCACCACCCAGATTAATCATCACACTAATTTTTTGGTAAATTCTTTTTATGCCAGATATTTTTCTTTGCATACATATTTTTAAACAAACATGTTATTGTATTATTTGGTAAACTACTTTTAAAACTCAGTAAGATATATTCCATGACAAATATGTTCCATGTGAATAAAAATTATTTCTACACTTTAATTGCAAATAGTTATATATCATATAACATACATAAATATCTAGAAAAACAATCAGACAGTAAGTTGACAGTAAAATTTTAAAAAATAAAAGAGCACAACATTAGTAATCTAGGGCTTTCAGGGAAAGAGTTACTTCAGATAAATAAATCAGCAATCACCTAATACAGGAAATTGCATTAAGCAGAAAGTTACAGAGATCTCACTATAAGTATATCCTGATCTCAGTACAAGAGGCAGATATTCATATATGGATAACAAAGAGATCCACATTTGTGGTTTTCTCCTTAAAATATTATACCTTATCCCCTTTTATTTTATTTTAAAGAGATAGGGCCTTGCCATATTGCTCAGGCTGGTCTCAAACTCCTGAGCTGAAATGATCCGCCCACCTTGGCCTCCCAAAGTGCTGAGATTACAGGCATGAGCCACTGTGCCCAGCCCCCTATTCCCTTTTAAATAATCATTTAACCTTTTCTCTATGAACTATAACCATTGACTATTATCCCATGTATCAATAGTCAGTCTGCTTTGTTATTTTGGGTTCACCACTCATTGTCACTGCTCATTGTCACTCAGCTTTCGATGATGTGTACAACTACTTTGCTAAATTATATGAGTTTTCAAATACTAGAAGAATATTTTCTTACATTTATATGCTACTTCCAATGTAACAGCTACAAACACAATACAATTTTAAGATTAATCCATATTGTTAATATTTTGTCCATAATTTTAAAGTCTAGATAATGAAGAAAACAATAATTTATAGCATTCATGACTTTTATAGTATTAATATTTCCATCATGATCCATTTCAAACTACCCACACCACACTGAGAAGAGCAGCACACCATTATAAGACATACATATAATACATACAGACACAATAGATGTAAATAACACCAATAGCATAGATAAGCGTAAAATGTAGTATGAAAGGACAAGCCTTGAGTATTTATTACCTTTGTTTTTAACATAATGTTCAATTGTTTATATAATTTAAGTTTAACAGCAAAATTGCTGAAACTTTGTCAGTTCTTGCGAGCCTGTGTGAGCTGACTCCAGCATGTCAACGCCTCTGTCCCTCCTAGTTGCCAGAAGAGTACACTTCCCCGTATTAGTCTTTCTAGATGTGTTTCCTCGGTTGCAGTATTATTTTAGAAATTCCCTACTACAATTTGTTTGGTTTTATGATTCTCATTATTATTTCCTGAAATGAAATGCAATTTAATAGATAACCAATGAAGTAAAGAAGGGTGGTCAATTATCCATTAAAGAGCAAACTACGAGGCAGTGAAAGGAACACAGGATTTTGAGTCAGAAGACCAAGACCTGGGCATGACACTTAGTCCTATTATCTTAAATGTATCTTTTAAATTTTGACCTTCAGGATTCTTATCTGTAAAACACAGCTAATAGCCACTTACTTTGCAAGTTTTTTTAATGAAAAATACATGAGAATAGCTGTGAACGTTTTTACAATTAAAAATTACAATACAAAATAAATCATCTTATAATATGCTATTCTTTTATATGAGTTTAATCTTTCAGAACTTTTTTTGATAGAGAAAAATAGTCATGTATTAGATTTTAGTTGCTACCTCATTACGACTGACAATTTGTGATTAAAGACATTTTTTGGTTTGAAAAAAATCTTATATCTATTACAAAATAGGTAGATTTGGGTATGAACAGTTACATTACAGGAGATATCAAGTATACTCAAGAAAGTCCAGCAATGACATTCAAGAGACCAGGATTTTACTTGTTCAACAAAACTTGTGACACAATTTGCAATTTCTCTGATGTTCATTTTGTTTATCTTTAAACTGCAATGATTGAGCAAAATAATCTGATGTTCTTTCTAAGTCTAAATTCGATGATTGTTTCTTTACCACCTCATTAAAATTTCCTTTTAAATGCTAGTACTCATTTAAGTGGTGTTTATAAAGCTACCATTCCTAGCTTTTAGATTCTCATTCTCATAGTCAGCTATTACATAGTGTGTTAGTCTGTTCATGCTGCTGTAACAAAATACTATAAGCTGAATAGCTTATAAACAACAGAACTTTATTTCTCATAGCTCTGGAAGCTGGGAAGTATAAGATCAAGGCACCAGCAGATTCTATGTCTAATGAGAGCCTGCTTTGTGGTTTATAGACAGTGCCTTCTCACTGTGTGTTCATATAATGGAAGGGTAGTGAGTTCTCTCTCGGGCCTCTATTATAAAGGCACTAATCCCAATCATGAGGGCTTTGCCCCTGTGACCTAATCCCTCCCAAAGGCCCCACCACCTACTTCTATCACTTTGAAGGTTAGGATTTTAACACTGAATCTGGATAGGACACTGCACTCAGACCATCGTCTATAGGAACATGGTTGAAAAAGGTCATTTCTTTACAGAGGAACATTCCACAGTTCCTTTGCTATTCTAGCTACACAGTGGCACATATTCTGCTTTTTAGTCACAGGGATGTATAGAGAAGGGACCTGGAAGTAAACAGAAAATTTTAAAACCAAAATTTGAGAAGCCACTTTCTGAGATAAAAACATAAAACTTTTCTGAAGGTATAACACAAACGAAACATGAATTCTGATTTTTCTATGCCTTAGTGTTTTGCCCTTAAGAAGATACCAAATCCAAGAAGTTAAGAATGTTTAGAAACACTGTCTTTTCTTTTTTTTCCTTTTAATACCTACCTCCAAGTGTAAGTTCTGATGCCTCACCTCTAATTGGTCCCTAGACTTGCTGCTTCTTCCTAATAAGCCTGTGCCCTAACCCCTGAGCTTCCATACTCCAACTCCCTGGCCCATAACAGAATATGTGCTTCCAATTTAGGTAAAAATAAAACTACAGAAAATAAATATATAACCTTCAATACAAGTAAGAATCATTTTACATATAAGTGAATGTGACAACTGCCTGCCTGTTACAGGGTCAGGTGAAGAAGTAAAAATGCCCCCTGGGTAATTCCTGCAATGATGTGAGTCCTTCCTGGAACTTATTTATTACACAGTAAAGAAGAGTAGGAAGTTCTTTCTGGAATATTTTTCTTGGGAACTTAAAATATAAACCTCAATCACTAACAAGGTGGCATTTTTAGATTGTCATGGGAAATCTAGCATGATTTACAAATACAACAGTCTAAGAATAACAGCCTTCCTGCCATCTGTGATTGGCATCATTATTATAGACTCTATTATAATCTTATCTCATTGTCCAACAAAGCTATTCATTCAGTGACTAAGCTCACATCAAAGACCAGGCAGAGTTTACTTACTTGCAGAAAAAAACGCTTTTGAAAAACACAATCTCATTGCATAGACAGAACCAACAGTGTCTATGACATGGTGCAGGGTGCTTATGATATAAGGTGGCAGCAAATGAAGTCAAAACAGAAATACCAGCTGAGAAGGTGTTTAATCTTCAAGGTGTGAGGTATTATATTCTAGCACTCTCTCTGACTGATATCAGACATGCAGGGAAAAACTAACTAAAACATATGGGAAAAGTGCACTTGTGTCCCTTTGATGTCTTTGTTGGCAAAGCACCTCAGCGTTCACATCCAGTCTTTAATAAAACAGCTGAAGTTCCTGGCTTGTAAATAAAGGAAGCTAAGAGATTGCTCTGTGACGTCTGTAGCACACACAAAAATGTAACTTCAATGGATGCCTGAAACCACTCATCTCAACATGCACATGCACACACACACACACACACACACACACACACACACACCTCTTAGAATTATCTTGTAAGGAACTCCATACCTGCTTCTACCACGGCCTGCAATTTTCAAACAATTTTTATTCTGGAAAACTAATGAATTCCTACAAACCCTTCAGCACCCCTTTTTTTCACCATGAAGGAGAGAGAGAATACAGCAGAACGTCCATATATTTAAATGTTGAGAGAAGTTGGAGTCCCTCTTTCCCATAAGGAAGAAACTGAAGGCCATAAACACATTGTTAATAAAGCCAATACAGGTATCCACACAAGGAATGATCAATGAAATGCATAACTAGCTTTTCAGCAGAAGTCAGGGACAGACATAGTAGCATCAAGCAAAAACAAGAAAAAAAGGACAGATTTTGTCAATGATTCAGGCACTTCCGAAAGTGTCCTGGCCTCCAAATCCATAAAGGGAATAGGGGCCTGCCAGAGACCCAAAGTGAAGAGGTTACTCTGGACACCAGAAAATCCAATCTTCATGTACTTGGATCGACCTTCCAGGTGGCTCATTCTGAGAACCACACAGCCCAGGGTGTGCAGACAGCAAGTCCTCTCCCCTCAGTAAGGATGCTCACATGAGCTTCCATACTCCTCTAGACCTCATCCCATCTCATACCAATAATGGGTGAAACCTAGAAGACAGTGAAATGGATCTGTGTTTTGTAAGCTGGTCTATTCCATTCACCCAAGACAGATGTGTAGAATTTTAGGAACTCAGGATTAAAACAGAAATTTGAGATCACTTAATCCCAACCCCGCCCAATAAGAGAATTTCTTAAAGGACTCTTCAGGCTGTGGTGGTGGTTCTGCTTTGGCCTCAGTCCACTACATACACTGAGAACATGCAGTTATTACTGATGGTCCAAATTTGGGCCACTGTAAATTTTAAGAAAACTCGTCCTTCCTTGAGCTGATATCTGGTTCCCTGTGTTTTATACCCGGAGATTCTGGCTGATCTAAGAGAGAGAAAAAGAGAGAGATAAGAAGCATTTTTAAGAGGTCATAAGTCAACTATTATAGTTTTTAGTTCTAAAAAGTTTCTAATATTGTCATCAAGTATATCAACACCCAATTTTTTGGACATGATACATTTTTTAGAAAATTGTCAGTCTCTTAGTGTGGTACCATTCATATTAACTATTATTTCTTAAATATTACTGATGGAAATTCTGCAATTGTGTTTGTAAATCCTTTCAGTAAACTATAGGATAATTTAATTAAAATTAAGATGATTTCATGTAAAAGAGATTAGCATATTTTAGACTTCAATTCTACTTTTTCGGCTGGAAAAGTAACTTTCCTGCTTTTGAACATGGAAGAAAAAAGGTCAAATTGAGTTGTATCTTTCATCCAAGAGATGAAGCATCTAGTGAAACGTGTTCATCTTGTGCCTCTGTAGCAGTCTTTTTCACAATTCTCTGCTCACTTTCATCTGTTTTGATGTTCTTCCAGACTTCTGCCACTTTTTCAATGCATGTAACAAGGCCCTCCTCATTCCAACTTTTGAGTCCTTTAAAACCTGAATTAATCACATTTCCTGTAAAGTGTCATTGATTTCTTTGTTTCTCTTTCCTTTATTTTTTTCCTTAAAATAATTAGTGATTTTACTCTCAGATTGTCACATGCTTATTTCTAAGACCTAATCTCCCTTCAAGAGTATCTGATTTTATGATGTGCCTATCTCTTTTTTGTCAGCCTTGGGAGCCCAGCCTCTAGGAAATCTAGAGGTATCCTCGACTAGGACTAATATCTCTTTACTTTTGTTTTACGCATCCTAAGACATTTTCACCCAAGATGCTTATCTTTTACACAACTCCAAAATTGCTTTATTTCATCCTACCAATAAAGTCTTATCAGGTCTCTATGTCATGACTCTCTCTCTTAGAACTCTCATGTGAGAGGGTTTCATGAAGATGCATATTAATACCTGTATTTGAATTAAGAAATGAAGTCAGAATTTTTCTGACAGACAGTAAATCTATTTGGCTGATTGGTTTGAAATGATGATGGGCTTTGCCAAATAGGCAAATGATAAATATTTTCCATAAATTAATCCTGTAGTCCTGAGATTTTGACAATAGTGTATCTAAAGTGCATGAAAAGAAAGCATTTAATCAAAACTATTGCATTTGTTAGTAGATGTGTACCAAAATTAATAAAAGTTATTGGATACATCTCAACAAAGCCTTTTTAATATACTTTCTATAAATTGAGCAAGAAAATAACCCTAATAACAGGGTGACAAATCATTTCACAAATCAGGATCCAAATGGAAGAGAACTTAATTGAATTGTCAGCTGACAGATAATTAAAAATATTTTTGATGATATATTACTAGAAGGATTTTTGGCACATAACTTGGAAGGAGTTCAAAGAATTGAATGACATTGCTCTACTAAAACTCCTTCTATTTCTATCTACTTATTTATGATAACAAGCTTTCTCAATGCTTACATATATATAAAATATAAAAATATGAATATAATTGATGTTGAATCTCACCTCAACCTGATAATAATTAATATTTATCCAGGAATAGGCTATTCTTTTTATTAAGGGATTCATTTTCAGTATGGTTTACTTTTTACCTTTAATAAGTATTTATCAAAATTTATATTATGTTGTTTTGATCAATTATGTACTACTAATAATTTTCATAAAACTAAATATGGAAGAAACTTAGAACCTTATTGTCAGAAAACTAAAAATAACTAAATTTTAATTTCTACATATATTTTTGTTGCAGAGATATATGATAGGTGACCAATAAAATACTTTCAGAAATACAAAAGTATATTGCATTAGGGTAAAAGTTTACAAGAGAAGTATGGAAATATGAGTTCAAAGAAGAAAACAAAGACAAATTTCCCAACTCCTAAGAATTTCTTTGTGTATTTTTAAATAAATGCTAACACAGGTGTCTTGAATCACAGGATTTCAAAACTGGAAAAAAAAATTAAAGGTTAACTATTTAAACTGCTCTTCATGCTTATTTGCCTTATGACTCCGAATAATTCTGAACAATTTTGTACATCTTCAAACACTCGATTGACTTCTGATTTTTTTTCTATATTAAGTTTAAATGGTTACCAAAGATACAATTTCTGGTGCAATATAAATATTGACATTTAAAATTCAAAAAAAAAATTATATTACTTTTTAAAATATAGCCCATGGGAATCTAAACACCAAGATAATTTGACACTACCATCATCTCTGTCCTTCATATCTTAGGTGTACTCCTGCAATACCACTTCTCTTCCATTATCCTCTTCTGAATGCTTCCCTCATTCTGCAGCTATCAACGGATTTTCATAAAGTCAAAATTTTTTCCAAACTTATTTTTTAAACTCTATTTCTTTTTTTTGACAGAACCTTTTGGGTAGACATATCATAGTTGCACATATTTGGGGGGAATATGTGATTTTTATATGTATACAAGAGGTAATGATCAAATCAGGGTAACTGGGATATTCATCACCTCAAACATGGATGTATCTTCAGTCCCATCCCTTCACAAAGACTAGATTCTTACAGTCCTCATTCCAGAATAAACATATGTATAAAGCACATCTACTGCAGGCATTAAATGTATAGGAAAGACACTTGGCACTAAATCATATATAAGTAAACATCAAAATAATAGAGAAACTGTATAGTGTCTTGATGCTTGATTTTTTTTAAAAGTTCCTCCTGACATGGTTCAACAGCAGATCAAATATTTAAAACCTGGTATATTGACTGTCCTTGAACAGTATAATCTATTCCTCAGTTACCATTAGATCAGTACACTCTTAATATTTTGTTTGGTTCTTTAGCTAATACATGTTGACATTTACTGGAATTAAAGAAGAACAAGGTTGCCAAAGACTCTTATATATTGTCCAACCCTTTATCCCAAATCTTTCCTGGTTAACATTCTCAACTGACTCATGGTAGCCCTAAATTGAAAGGGTAATGTTGCTGGAACTAGATTATGGGCCCCTTTACAGTGGTCTGCAGGTGAGAATGTAAACAAGTCAAACTCTGGTGGTACAGCTAAAAATGGAGATAGCTGCAAATGGAATGGAACAATAAGATAACTTATCTTCCTCGTCCATCAAGAATATTTACTTGCTGCAATTCCACCATTTTTCTTCTCTTTGCTGAAAATCTCCTTCATTTAGGAATGAAGAGTGTGAGTAGTAAAAAACAATGATTGGAAATACCATACCTGTGCTCTAGGTCTGCTTCTGCCTCTAACCAGCTGTGAGTCCATAAAAAGCCATACCTTCCATGGATTGTAACACAATGATGGCTAAAGCCCTATCTCTCCTAAAATTTTGTAATATTAGGAATTTAAGCATTCATAAATGATCTTTTTCTCCTCGGCATATATAATAACCAAATCACATGCTAAGCCTATAGAAATCACACATAAATGTATGTAACACACTTATATACAGGCACTGTATTTAGTGTTAAAGCCGATCTTCCTTCTCTCTAGTGTTAAGGAGATTGGTCTCCACATAATATCCTACATGACCCACTGATGAGTGAATACACAGAACTCAGAGAAATACTTGAATTAAAGTGGTATAATTTATTTAATCAACTATACGAAACTAAAATATGGTTATTTTCAAATGCAACACCCATTTCCATAGACATCTCTTGCGTTTTTCTTCCTAAACAAACTTTACATCACTCCTACTCAGCAAACTCACCTTGAACATCTTCGTGATTCAATCGTATCTATGTTCTCAAGGAGTTCTGCCAGCTTTCATGGTTTTGGCTACTACCTAACCCTGTTGTCACAGATGTCATCTTTCTTACCTTACATCAAATCACTCCTCCTCTTTTTGATAAAACTGCAAAGTGTCTTTCACATTCAATCATAAAAACAGATTTAATCTTCATAACTAACAAATATGTATATTACAGACAAGAATGAGGAGATTTTTGTCATTCTTCCAATTTTTTCACATAATCTGGTTTTATACACTATAACCAGATTATTTAATATACATTTCTTGGTGATTTAATAGAACATTTTCTTTTCTTTTCTTTTTTTTTTTTTTTTTTTTTTTTGAGATAGAGTTTTGTTCTTTCACCCAGGCTGGAGTGCAATGGCAAACAGTGGAGTGATCTCAGCTCACTGCAGCCTCCGCCTTCCAGTTTCAACCAATCCTCCTGCCTCAGCTTCCCGAGTACCTGGGACTACAGGCATGCACCACAATGCCTGGCTAATTTTTGTATTTTTAGTAGAGACAGGGTTTCACTGTGTTGGCCACGATGGTCTCAAACTCCTGACCTTGTGATCCATCTGCCTCAGCCTCCCAAAGTGCTGGGATTACAGGCATGAGCCAATATGCCTGGCCAATAGAACACTTTCTAATAACTTGTTTGAAAACCTTATTCAAATACATTACTAATTTGAGTCTTTTAATTAGTCTGGGACATAAAAAGGCAAATGTAATCCTCATTTTATAGATGAGGAAGGAGAGGCAAGAAGGTGCAGAAAGATAAGCAACAGTATATCCCAGGATGCCAGAAATATTAACCCCATTAACATTTGCTGCATCCTCCCACTACTAAATACTGTGCTTGTTGTATTTTCATCTTCTTTCTAAAATCAGCTCAACTTCAGCACCTATTTTCTGTAAATCTTTTTATTCCAAACTTATTTGATTTGTTAAGTAAACATTAATCAGCTTCTACTACCATATGTGAGACTCTAGGGCTACAATGGTGTACAAAAGTGACGTGGTCCCTGATCTCATGGAGCCTGGACCAGAGAAAAAAAACATTGCTTGAATAATTCAAAAAGCAAATGGATATTACAACTCTGGCAGTGCTGGACAGTAGAAGTAATCGGTGCTATCAGACCCTGTACTTGGAAGATTGGAGATACTCAGAGGAGTTAGGGGAGGCTATTCTGAAAACAGGACACTTGAGCTTTGGTTGAACAATGAGGCAGAGTTTACTAGATGATAAGAGAGGGAGAGAGGAAACAACATGTGCAAAAGCTGTTACTCAGAGGAAGCCTGGAAAGTGGGGAATGAGGAAAGAAGCCCAATATGAAGGGAATCCAGACACTACGGAAGAGCATAATTTGAGATAAGACCTGAGCAGAATTAGGGGCCAGGCTTTGTACAGTTTTAGAGCCAAAGTTAAGGAGTTTTGCCTTTATACAAAAAGCAATGGAATTGTATCATTTCATTTATAAGAAATGTACTGAGTAGGCAAATACATAGAGACAAAAAGTAGATGTCCAGGGCTGAGGGGAGCTGAGAGAATGGAGAGTGACTATTAATGGGTAGGAGGATTCTTTGGGGATGATGAAAATAATCTAAAATTAGATACTAGTGATGATTACAAAATTTTGTGACTATTCTATAAAGCACTGAATTATATACTTTAGAAGGGTCAATTTTATATTACATAAACTTATCTTAATAAAGTTCTTATTATAAATTAGAAATGGGAGTGCATAAAAGATTTTAAGAAGGGGATTCTCCAAATAGACACAATAAAAAATGATAAAGGGGGCCAGGCACAGTGGCTCATGCCTGTAATCCCAGCACTTTGTGAGGCTGAGGCAGGTGGATCACCTGAGGTCAGGAATTCGAGACCAGCCTGACCAACATGGTGAAACCTAGTCTCTACTAGAAATACAAAATTAGCCAGGCATAGTGGCACATGCCTGTAATCCCAGCTACTTGAGAGGCTGAGGCAGGAGAATCACTTGAACCCAGGAGGTGGAGTTTGCAGTGAGCCAAGATCACACCATTGCACTCCACCTGGGGCAACAAGAATGAAACTCCATCTCAAAAGAAAAAAAAAATGAAAAAGGGGATATCACCACTGACCCTACAGAAATACAACCAACCATCAGAGAATACTATAAACAGCTCTGCAAATAAACTAGAAAATCTAGACAAAATGGATAAATTCCTGGACACATAAACCCTCCCAAGACTCAACCAAGAACAAGTTGAATCCCTGAACAGACAAATAACAAGTTCTGAAATTGAGGCAGTAATAAATAGTCTACCAACCAAAAAAAGCCCAGGAAAAGATGGATTTATAGCTGAATTCTACCAGAAGTACAAGAAGAGCTGATACCCTTTCTTCCCTGATGAACATTGATGCAAATGTTCTCAATAAAATACTGGAAAACCAGATACAACAACACATCAAAAAGCTTATCCACCATGATCAAGTTGGCTTCATCCCTGGGATGCAAGGCTAGTTCAACATACACAAATCAATAAACATAATTCATCACATAAACAGATCTAAAGACAAAAACCACAGGATTATCTCAATAGATGCAGAAAGGCCTTTGATAAAATTCAACATCCCTTTATGTTAAAAACTTTCAGTAAACTAGGTATTGAAGGAACACACCTCAAAATACTAAGAGCCATTTTTGACAAACCCAAAGCCAATATCATACTGAAAGTGGAAAAGTTAGAAGCATTCCCCTTGAAAACTGGTATAAGACAAGGATGCCCTCTCTCACCACTCCTATTCAACATAGTATTGGAAGTTCTGGCCAGGGCAATCCATCAAGATAAAGAAATAAAGAGCATTCAAATAGGAAGAGAGGAAGTCAAATTGTCTTTGTTTGCAGATGACATAATTCTATATCTAGAAAACCCCTTCATCTCAGCCCAAAAGCTTATTAAGCTGATAAGCAACTTCAGCAAAGTCTCAGGATACAAAATCAATGTGCAAAAGTCACAAGCATTCCTATACACCAACAACAGGCAAGCAGGGGCCAAATCATGAATGAACACCCATTCTCAATTGTTACAAAGAGAATAAAATTCCTAGGAATACAGCCAACAAGGGAAGTGAAAGACCTCTTCAAGGAGAACCACAAACCACTATTCAAGGAAATCAGAGGGGACACAAACAAACGGAAAAACATTCTATGCCCATAAATAGGAAGAATTAACATTAAGAAAATGGCCATACTGCCCAACATAATTTATAGATTCAATGCTATTCCCATTAAACTACCATTTACATTCTTCATGGAATTAGAAGAAACTATTTAAAAATTCATATGGAACCAAAAAAGATCTCATATGGACAAGACAAAAGCTGGAGGCATCACACTACTGGACTTCAAACTATACTACAAGGCTACAGTAACCAAAACATCATGGTACTGATAAAAAAGCAAACACATAGACAAATGGAACAGAATAGGGAACTCAGAAATAAGACTGCACATCTACAATCATCTGATCTTCAACATACCTGACAAAAACAAGCAATAGGGAAAGGATCCCCTATTTAAATAAAAGCGAAGTAGCTATTATTGGATTTCCTAACTACCCCAGTTTGTAAGGAAAAATAAATGTCTATATAAAATTTAAAATAAAAATGTAATTGCCTATATCCTTATTACCTTAACCTATTTTACTTTTCTATATTTCCTACATATATAAGTATCATTCATTGTTCTAAGCAATGAACATAATATATTTTCTCCAAATAGCAATTTTTTATATTCATAATTATTCAGCTTTGTTGCTAAACATGTAGTTCCACTTAGTTTTTTTTTCTTCTTGCTACTCTAGTCATTACAATAAATACTGTATTTTTCAAGCAAACAAAAAATGATGCTGGGAGAACTGGCCAGCCATATGCAGAAAATTGAAACTGGACCCCTTCCTTACATCTCATACAAAAATTAACTCAAGATGGATCAAAGACATAAATGTAAAACCCCAAACTATAAAAATCCCAGAAGAAAGTCTAGGCAATACCATTCAGGACATAGGCACAGGCAAAGATTTCATGACGGAAACATCAAAAGCAATTACAACAAAAGCAAAAATTGACAAATGGGATCTAATTAAACTAAAGAGCTTCTGCATAGCAAAAGAGACATCATCAGAATGAACAGACACCCTACTGAATGGGAGAAAATCTTTGCAATCTATCCATCTGATAAAGGTCTAATATCCAGAATCTATAAGGAACTTAAACAAATTCACAAGAAGAAAATCAAACAAACCCATTAAAAAACGGCAAAGGACATGAACAGACACTTCTCAAAAGAAGACATTTATGTGGCCAACAAACATATGAAAAAAAGCTCAACATCACTAATCATTAGAGGAATGCAAATCAAAACCACAGTGAGATACCATCTCACGCTAGTCAGAACAGTGATTATTAAAAAGTCAAGAAACAACAGATGCTGGCAAGGCTGTGGAGAAATAAGAGTGCTTTTACACTGTTGGTGAGAATGTAAATTAGTTCAACCATTGGGGAAGACAGTGTGGCAGTTCCTCAAAGACCTAGACAGAAATACCATTTGACTCAGCAATCTCATTATTGGGTATATACCCAAAGGAATATAAATCATTCTATTATAAAAATACATGCACATGTATGTTCATTGCAGCACTATTCAACAGCAAAGACGTGGAATCAACCCAAACACCCATCAATGATAGGCTGGATAAAGAAAATGTGGTACATATACACCATGGAATGGAGATGTCAAAGTATGGCCCTTAGAACTCAGGCTTGAACAAGGGAATGGAAGTTGGTACCATTCATTGTGTTGGTGTTGTGAGAAAACGATCAGATTTTGAGAAGGGGGTAAATATTGAATTCAATTTTTTATTACGTTGAGTTTGAGGCTCCCTGGAGGGATGTCAAATGAGAATTGGATATATGCATCTGGAATTGACAGTAATGTTTTTAGTAAAGAGAAAATTTATGAGTCTTCTGCATATAGGTTAAAATAACAGTCGTGGATATAAGTGAAACAGCCTGGAAAAAGAATATAAGGTGAAAAGATGTCATAGTCCATTTGGACTGCTATAACAAAATACCATGAACTGAGTAGCTTATAAATAAAAGATATTTATTTCTCACGTTCTAGAGGTTGGAGAAAAATCAAGATTAAGGCACTGGCAGATTAATGTCTGTGTAAGGTCCATGTTCCAGTTCACACACAAGGCCATCTGGCTGTTTCCTCACATAGTTGAAGGGGCAAAGGAGCTCCCTTCAGCCTATTTTATTAGGCACAAATAAAATAGTATCCTGTGAGTTAATCACTTCCCAAAAGACCCTACTTCCTAAGACAATCACCTTGGGGTTTAGGATTTTAACATATGAATTTGTGGGGAAGCAAACATTTAGAATATAGCAGGAAAGAAGCTGTCTAGGACTAACCATTGAAGAACTCCAGATTCTGTCAACTAAAGAAAGAATATAAGTCTGTGATGAGAAAATAAACAAAAGCCAGAGAGTTAGGGAAAGAACCAGGAGAATGCTGTGTCATAGAGGCCAAGGAGAGCATTTCTAAAGGAAAGATTTGTCAGGTGGATAGAATATTTCTGAGAAGTTACATGAGATAAGGACCAAAAAAAAAATCTATTGCAATAAGTTGGTAACATTACCAAAAGCTGTTTCACTATGGAGTGATTGGGCCAGATCCAGATTAGGGTAGTATATTAGTCTGTTCTCACATTGCTATAAAGAACTACCTGAGACTGGGTAATTTATAAAGAAAAGAGGTTTCATTGGCTCAAGGTTCCACAGGCCTTATAGGAAGCATAGCTGGAGAAGCCTCAGCTAACTTATAATTGTGGCAGAAGGGCGAAAGGGAAGCAAGCACATCTTCACATGGTGGCAGGAGAGAAAGAGAGCAAAGGGGTAAGTGCCACTCACTTTTAAACCATCAGATTTCAGGAGAACTCACTCACTATCATGAGAACAGCAAGGGGGGGAAATCTGCCCCCATGATCCAATCACCTCCTACCAGGTCCCTCCCCCAACATTGGGAATTACAATTCAACATTAGATTTGGGTGGGGACACAGAGCCAAAGTTTATCAGGTAGGTTAATGAGTGGGAAATGAGGGAATGAGCAAAAACTAGTATAAATAAGTTTGCTGCTGCTGCTGTTGTGTTGTTGTTGTTGTTGTTGTTGTTGTTGTTGTTGTTGTTTGAGACGGAGTCTCACTCTGTCGCCCAGGCTGGAGTGCAGTGGCGGGATCTCTGCTCACTGCAACCTCCGCCTCCCGGGTTCAAGCGATTCTCTTACCTCAGCCTCCCGAGTAGCTGGGACTACAGGAACGCGCCACCACGCCCAGCTAATTTTTTGTATTTTTAGTAGAGACAGGGTTTCACTTGTGTGAGCCAGGATGATCTCGATCTCCTGACCTCGTGATCCGCCCGCTTCGGCCTCCCAAAGTGCTGGGATTACAGGTGAGAGCCGTTGCGCCCAGCCTGCTGTTGTTGTTTTAACAGTTTGTCTGAGAACAGAAGAGAGATAGGGCAATAGCTACAAGCAGGGGAGAGTAATTGTTATGACATATTTTTATTGAGGTATTCTGAGTATATTATAAAAACAATGGGACACATTCGGTTGAGTGATAAAGGGTTGAAACAATTCAAGAAACAAACGATAATTCATGGTATAAGTTTCCTGAAAATGTGGGAATGATAGATTCCAAAGCCATGGTGCAAGGATTAAATAGATCCTCTAAAACAAGAAAGCCAGAGGCTAGAGGAACTGTAGCGGACAGCTCAGATGTGTAGGATCTGATATGAGGCCAGTCCCATCTGATCATTCAGTTTTATCTGTGAGGTAGATATAATCTGCTTAGGATATGCGAAGCCAAAGGAGAGCAAGGTAAAAGCTATTGGAGATGTGAAAATAAATGAGAATACATTTTTATGTAAGAGTAAGAGAATGAGGCAACCAGAAAAACAGACTGTTAAGCATTGATGTAGATGCTTCCCTCTACACACTTTCTCCAACACTGCTAAGCTGCTCTGGTGAAGTTATGGTGTGGAGAATGCCAATAGCTGGGGTTTTCTAAAGTGAAAGTTTGATCAGTTGCTTAACTTAAAAAAAAAAAAAAAAACCCAGACAAGATAGTTTAGGGTAATGAAAAGAGAGTTAATGGACCATAAAATATCAACTAGAAAATGAACAAGAATATTTTTATTTTTCCATTTATCTTTTCTTATACTGGAAAATAAAAGGAAATAAATGACAGAATTTGAAAAACCCTACTACTACAAATATATGACCTCCCTTTTTTGTGCAGGCTTCATGTCTTTAAACTTAAGTCTTTTGTATTTAACATATTACAAAATAAAAAATATAACCGATATAGCTAAAAGATCACAGCTATCAGGAGAGCTGAAGTCTAAACAGAACCTTTCTAATAATTTATAACTTCAAGACTCAACTAAAACCTCATCTTCATTATACAGCGTTCCCTGACTTCTTTTTGCTTTGCCATTTTCATCTAGGCTCACATAGTACCAAATAGAAACCTCTATGATAGCCCTCAACCTATAGTCCTACATAGCTGCCTACCTCTAGTTCCTCCACTAGATTATGAGTTGTTTGAAAGGGAAGATATTTTCTTCTTGCACTTTACTAAATACTTGGCCCATATTAAGCAGCCAAAGAATATGTGTGGTTTGCAATCAAATACTGAAATTTTTTGGGGGAAAATTATTAAATTGGTAACCTAATTAAAACTGCAAATTGGTGCCCCAAAAAAGTAGCACATAATTCTATGCTAGAAAAAAATTAACGAAAGAGGTAAAAGAAAAACTTGTAACTTTTCCTGACTTAATTGAGGTATCTCTAACTCCACAGTATAATGAAAGTGCATGCATAAACAGAAGTAAATGAAAAGGACTAGCAGTAGCAAAAGGCTAGCAGTGGCAAAAGGCTAGCACAGGCAGCAATAGTAGGAAAGACAGACACACTTGCACAATAATACTAAAGCTTAAATCAAATGAAGAAGGAGCTTGCAGGGCCACGGAGCCAAGATATTTTCAGATCTTGAATGGAAAGATATTACTAGACCTTTTATGGAAAAAGCAAAGCCAGAAATACAATTCAAGGAGGATGAGGAAGAAACACATTGTGAAGCATGCTGCAATTTGGCTCCCATTTACCTAGAATTCAGAAAGATTTGACCAATCCTAGGTGAATAGGATTGTTAATAAACAAGGTTTTCTGTGTAAAGAGTATGTAAAAATCAACAGTATGCTCATAATGACACACATATAGACATCCAAGATTAATTTATTACTTTATAAGTTATTTACAGGGTTATTTTAATTTCATTCCTTTATTTCCTTCATTTCAGGGGCTCTGCAGGAAAACTTACTTACCATGACCCTGATGCTCAAGCAGGGACTTCCTAAGATTGTATGAACTCAACTGCGAGACAGCTGCCATGAAGAATTCAGGAATAGCAGAGTAACCGAGTTTTATCCAATCCCAGCTAATATTGCTTTGGAATAATACTGAATGTTGAGGGGAACATCAGAAAATGTTGGAGCAGTTTTCACTGCTATTCATTTGCATAGTACAAAGAATATTTTCTTTTGGTAGAAGCCACTCCATAAAAGTTTGCACTGATCTATACTTCTGTATATGACAGTGTTTGAAATCTATTTATAGCTGAACTGAAAATTTCACCCTAACCAGACTGGCTTGAGAAACCCTTGTCAGTTGTGACTTTGCAAATTAAAAGAACCTGTGATCTACCATTTAGAAAATCCATTATGTCCTTTTCCCTCACTTTAACCTTGTCTCAAAAGTTTGACAAATCACACATCACAATAAGGAGTTTGAAATCTGCACTAAGTCTAATCTTGTTATCTTCCATTGCTCCCTTATCATTTCATATATTTCTTTGACTTATCTCTTTTGTCCTAGAGGTCTGTAACATATACCTACTCCTAGCAGCTTTATTTTTAAACCTTTCATAAAACCTAACTTTCTCTCTTAAATGTATTCTTCTTATGTGAAAATTAGTCAATAATCCTCCCATTTATACTCCTTCATCACTCTATTTGCAAACACATTGCACAATAATGTTTAAAATTTTTCTGTTATCCTGCAGCAATAAGACCTTTTTTATATATCAAATCTTTATATCTCATAATTTTTTCCATCACCCATGCTGTGTGTTTTATTTATAATACTACCAGCCTACAGGTACAGACACTCAATAATTTTCATTTCCTTTTCTTGTCTAACTTTGTCCAGATTTATTTGGATTATTATTCCTTCTCTTATTTGTCTCAATGCAGAAATATAAAAGTAAAGGTGTCACCTTCCAGTTCATTTTCCATATATATGAAAAGTCTAGATTCCTAACCCACAAAAGTAAGCATTTTTATGTTTTTATTCACATCAGTTCTCTTGGCTATCAGGACCATCACTGTAATGTGGCAGAGCAGTGTGGATCAGTCTTTCCTTCCTTTGCTAGAGGCCCAAGTGCTTGTCTGATGCTGGAACCATTAATTTCAGCTACTGTGGCTCAGACAGAGCAGCCATCAGACTGCTTGCCTCTACTTTCTCCAGTGGAAAAGTCTGCAGGAAAGGGGCATTTAATCATTACTTCCACAATGTGCTCCACAAAAAACAGGTCAGTCAGCAAGTAGTTTGGGGAAATTCTGCCTATTACTCCATAGACATCCAAATAGGTAAATCTAAGACTCTGAGAAGTTCAGCAATGAAGAATACTATTTCACTTAGTTTAACCTTGAATTTCCTACTCTTCTTATTTTTGAGAACATTTTTTGTATTGTTCACATGGGTAAAAACTATTAGCATTTGATGAACCAAGCTTTAAGAAACAATTCTCTGGAAGCCTTTAGATTAAGAACCAGGGCCAATTTGTATGCACCTAAGATTAATAACCTTTATACCACCAGACAGATCTTTCCAGGACAAAATTTTCTCAAGTTTCTTTTCTCCTAAGACTTCTGCAAGAAGTTTTATTTATTAAATAAGGTTAAAAGGCATTAAATCAATTGTCCAATGGCTGACAAATGACAGAGCTTGAATCTGAACATTGATCTATGCTGACTCTATAATCTGAAATTTTGGGTAGGGTCGAGGCAGTTTAAATGAATATCAGTCTCTAAAAAAACTACAAGACTTTTTAATGGTTTTTGGAACATAAAAAAATTTGAAAACCAGTCTAAGTGTTATTTTACTGTTCAGTCATTTCAACACATTCAGACATAATAGCATTGTTTTAGACTCCACTTGAAAGATGATCTGTTTTCTCATATATTTGAGCATAACTAGATAACCCAACTCTTTGAGGGGAGACACTGAGGGTTCTGACTTCAATTCACTGCCTGTTTTAATGGAGTAGGGAGGACAGACCTTTATAACCTGTCTTAGAAATGATTGGAAGAGATGGTTATCCAATCAACCTTGATTATTTAATATGAATTGTTTTTAAGGGACAGGTTCTTCCCAGATCTTTCATAGCCACATTAATGAAACTGCAGGCTGGCCCAATTTCTGGATAAAGAGTTTGCAAGAGACTTTATAACTATCATGTGATATAGTTGTGATGATAATACAAAAATCTGTCTTTCTGAGAAACAAACACCCAGATCTTGATGGGACTGACTTTAGGTACAATTTATTAATCTCATATAAGAGAAGAAAAGCTAACTGTATTATGAGTATTGCAGGACTTCAGGCTTTCGAAAAGGAACTTGACCAATGATATCCTGTGTAAGTGTATAACACCTCATATGATATATATGCTATATATTAGCTATACATATTGCTATAAGTATTGCTATTTGTATTACTACATAGCTTATATTTTATATGTACTGCTGTTTATCTTATCTATTGGTATTCTCTCACATAGTCTTCAGTTCAATCAGGCCATCTTCCCACTGACTACTCCATGTCTGTGGCCACCACCAAGCCCTTGAAATTCTTCTGCATGCTTGGCTATGTCCTCCCATCCAATTGTCCTTCACAGAAAGTTTGTCCTAATGGTCTGCACTACAATGTCCACCACTTCTTTAGTCCTTAAATTTTTTAATGTCACATGTGTACATTTTGCCTTTCTATTGAGATTATAAATTACTTGAGAATACAGAACAGAAACCAAATAATTTTATATCCCCCCCAACACTGAGTGCTTAGCATAGGGCTAATGGCTTCACTCTACTGCAAAAGAGTTAGATATTATTTGGTGGACCTCAAAGGCAAATATCCAACCTTATTCCTGTTTTAATTACCCAGGTTAGGTCAGACAATTTAACAGGCTGTTTGAGCACTGCTTTGTCCAACATGTTGTCAGACACCCTGCAAATATGGAGATATGAACTATGTAATGTGAACCCTCAACTAATTAAGGGGTTTAGTGTGTATGTGTTTCTATAATGAATAATTAACAGAAGCAATTTGAAAGCCTCGCCCATGCTAATGTGGTAGAAGATGGGGTTGGATTTGATTTCTCTTCTGTGTTTCCTTTGAAAGCATTCACAACCCAGTCACCATCCTTTATACTACATTTATAGGTATGTCATGTCTGGAACCTCTGAGGTGGAAATTATGACAGTTACTCTAGAAGCAGTGATAGAAAGATAATTAAAAAATAATTAGCAAGAATAATTAGCATGGGGCCAAGGGAGGAGAGCTTTTATTTCATCAGCTAGTTGGATGTGATTAAATGTGTAGAGACCACAGCTAGAAAAGTACCTTAATATGGCAATACGAAAAAAACTATTTTTCATTTTCATTTCATTTTCCTTCTTTTCCCTTCCCCTGATAGTCAGCAAGAAGTGGCTGCTGTGATCTTCACTCCCTTTTGAAAAATGCCATCCAGCATCTCTCACAGCTTATCTCCATTTGACCAAAGATGTAACTACACAGCTTCAATGAAAACACAGTAGTGGAACATCAGGACCTGTCAGCATAATTCTCCTGGGGGTTGTGTATTAGGTGATTACCTTGGCACCAACTAAGGAGAAAAGAACGAAGAAGGCAAAGACAGTGAACAGCAGTAGGATTTTTATTTGTTGTTGCTTATCATGTTTTACTTTCCTAAGAACAGGACTAAACTATACTGGTAAAAGAACAGAAGTGTTAACATTCACTTTTAGCCTGTAAGGTGTTCTCAACACTGATTGTCTTATAATTGGACAAGACAGCATACAATTTCATCCAGTAATTTCTCTGTTACAGGGAAGCTGTACAAACTCAAGAACAGTCCCCTGCTGAGAGAAAAGCCCTTAGTTAAACAAGTCAGTCAGCCTGGAAGAGCACGCACGTTGAAGTCAGACTGACCCAGGCTGAAAAACTTGCCTCTGTCACATCTAGTACTAGTTGAATGGCCTTGGGCAAAATACTTTGTCTCTGAACTGAAACTAGCTCATCTGTAAAATGGTGATAATACTACCTACCTAGCCTGGTGTTTCTATTATCATCTATTTTAATGCTACTCTGATAATAATAACAACCATTGCTATTATCAATTTACTTAATCTCTCTGAACCTCTTCCTTACCTGCAAAATGAAGATAATACTTATAGGTTTATTATGAGAACCAAATGAGGCTCTCAAGAAAAATTACCTCCCCAGGCTATGACATTTATCAATACCCACTTAGTGAAAAACTATGGAAAGTTAGAAGGTAAATGAATTCTAGACTTACATTTATTGAGAGAAAAAAAAAAACAAAAACTCTAGGCTAGGCGCGATGGCTCATACCTGTAATCCCAGCACTTTGGGAGGCCGAGGTAGGCAGATTACTTGAGGCCAAGAGTTCAAGACCAGCCTGGCCAACATGGTGAAACCCCATCTCTACTAAAAAATACAAAAATTACAGTGGTGCATGCCTGTAATCCCAGCTACTCCGGAGGCTAGGGCATAAGAATTGCCTGAATCTGGGAAGCAGAAATTGCAGTGAGCTGAGATTGCACCACTGCACTCCAGCCTGGGCAACAGTATGGGCTATGTCTCAAAAAGATAATTTTAAAAATCTAAAGACATGATATAGCTACAGATATAGGCATCAGACAGTGACTTTTATGTATTCTAAGAACCTGCACATAGAAGCATTTGGTTATTTTTGTTTGTTTATTATTTGTTTTGTTTGTTTTCTTATTTCAGCAGATACAAGAAACCACGCTATCAGGTCCCAGATATTTGTCAAGGCATAAAAATATAATTAACACATTATCGGGCAATGCTGTTTCTCCCAGAACTTGATAGCACTGTGGAATGAGGAGACAGAAAACATGAAGAAATGGGTGAAGCCTTTGGCAGTGATTGTAATGGTCGGCAGGAAATAACTTGTGACAATTTGTATTCTTTAGATTAGTTTTTCAGATGCAACTTGCCTGGAAGATATTTCAGACAGAAAGTAGAGAAGGCAGTAACCAATCACATGAGAGGTTGCAAAATGATTGACCTGTCTGAAATAAACCTCATAGAAAAAGAGTTTATGGAAATTTATGTTAATCATATCAGTAGCCAGGGTTCACTGGGTTCTCTGGATTATAACATAACCCAGTCTTGGCTTGCAGATTAGAAAACTTTACTAGGCTCATGATGTCTGTCAGCATGATTCATTCATTCATTCAACACACACATTTGAGCATGTACCCTATGTCAGTCATTACCTTCCTGGACTAGTCTGGTAGGAGAAGAGGCAAGAAAATGCCATCACAAGTCAAGCACAAATAAATAAACATAAAGAAAGCTTTATATAGATTAAAACTCCTATCTCCTTAGCCACCAATATCTTATAATACACAGTAGAGATAGTATCAGAGAAGGAGAGACTGAAAGTGCAAATGAGTCTTTTCCCACTAAGTAAGAGATGTTTGCCTTTGCTGGTTTCATGCAGTTACCTTATTTTTTCTGTGAGTTTTTGGCCCCTTATCATATAGCACTACCCATTAGCTCTGAAAAAGTCCCAGCTAGACCTGCTAGCACCCAACACGTTAGAATCAAGCATACTTCTAAAATTCTTTCCTGTCCAAAAATACTAAGACTAAACATTCCAGCTCAGATGATGTCACTAAACTTTAATTACTGTGTTTTATACATAATACTCAGATATTTATTGGCTGAATAAATGAACAACAAAAGGTTCTGAGATAGAAGAGGACAAAGGAAGCTTGAGAATGAGAAAATATTTTCAAAGGAACAAAACGAGGAATACAGACTTAGGCAAGCTGGCTGCCTCCATAAACTGGGTGTTCTTCATAGTTCATTTCAATTCTGCCTGAGATTCTCCCTTTTAAAACATCCACAACTGCTAGGAAAAAGAGAGCTAACAGTTGGAGGACATTAAAGCTGATTACTGATAGATTGCATTAACATGCAAAGCAATTAGGAACCACTGAAGAGTATTAACATGATGGGCTGATGCTTTGTGTACCAATCATAATTCTGAATCTGTGAAAGTAAACTCCATCTGCAGCCAGCCTTAGACTCTGAGATGCAGGACTTCAAAAATGGTATTTGTCAATATGCTTCACCTCTGTGACCTCTTCACATAACAAAACTTCAGGCCTGTACCTGTCTAACCAAACAGCCACCTCCCACTCTCCTAGTCCACTATGATTGGCTGATTACTTTAGCAGAAGACTTTTCTACTGAGGTCACCATAAATTTATGACTCCCCATCTTATAAGATCTTTAACATTGCCAAATAATCTTTTTGCCCATCTACATTTATCGCTAGCTCCCATTTTCCTCAACTGTTAGTCCAAACACCTCATTTATACACCATCTGCCACCATTTCTCTCATCATTCTCAGATGGTCATATGGTTTCCAGTTCATAAGTTAAGTAAGGCCCGTGAGAAATGCCTCAATTTTATTTACCCTTCCTGATGTCACAGATATTCCCACTCTTCTTTTTTCCTTTATTGAGATAGCTCTTGTTCCATCCACACTAATCCTTCAACCTTTGTCCCCCTGGTAAATCACTCCACCAATTATCCCATCTTTCTCCTGTATTTCAGCCTTTTCCTGTTTAGTAGCTGTATAAAAATATGTTCAAATCTCTCCTACTTAAAAAAAAAAATAAGACACAGACCTATAATCCACTCATTATCTTAACATATATTACAAAAATTGCTTTCTGGAAATATTGTGCCATTTTAAGAATGGATTTTCTTAAATATAAAACTGACAATGCTAATTGGCTTATAATTACTCAATGGATACCTATTGAATAATACAAATTCTCTAGTACAGCATACTAGTTTTCTTATGATCTGTCCACAACTCAGAGTTCTTCCATACTTTCTACCCCCATCACCCTTAGGCACCCTGTGAAATACTGAACTACTTCACTTGACATTCTCTATCCCACTCTGTATTCACAATGTGTTTTGCTCTTCCTATCATATAATCCAGGTTATAAAATAGTAGTCTCGGACAATTCTCCTCAGAAGGAGATGGTGGGTAAGGCAGCAGCCTAAGGCCTGGCTTGTTCATTGCCGCTGTGAAAGAGCTTTAAAGTTTTCTTATAAACAATAGTAATTACTGAAACTTTGTAAACAGGGTAGTATTGTTAGGTTTCAAGTAGGTCACTTTATATGAGAACAGATTTTAAAGAGGACAGGAAGGTAAAACTAGTTAGAAGTTGGCTAAGTTGTCCAAGCAAGACCTGATGGGTGCTGAAATCGTCATAGCAGTTGAGATGTGGCCTCAAAGAAGCACAAGGTGGAATATCACAGAAGTCATAGGCGAAACAGGAGAATACATTAACAGAGAGTTTCTCCTTAACCAAACTTTACTGGGGCTCCTCTGAGTCCTCTTTTGGAGGAGGCCCCAACTTTGAGCTCTATCCTAGACCTGCTTCGTCCAGTTTTAGCAAAAATCCTGCTGGTATGTGATCATCCTCAGTTTAGCCAGAATCCTTTTAGCTTTGGTTTTCCTCTTAGTAATTTTCCATCCACTGACACCCATCCTGCTCTTGCTTCTTGGCTATAAATTCCCACTTTTCCTTATCATATTTGGAGTCCCATCACTCTGTCCTGCTACAAAACCCCATTGTAGCCATCCCCCTGAATAGTCAGCCTTAGCCAATTTTAACACTTGTCTTTAATGAGTGGCATAAAAACTTTTTTCTTTAACAACACTGTCACAGAAACCAAGAGCATAGGGAGTCCTACATGAGAATCCATGATCCTGGCATCAAATACTATGAAGAAGGGATCAAAAAATGTGGCTATTGGAGTTGATAATCAAGGAATCACTTTTAATCTAAACAACAGTAGTTACAATAGAGTAGGAGCAGAAGCAAGAGTTTAGAGTTGAAGAGTGAGTGGGAGACAGATCAGTGGGTGGCGAGTACTTTTCGAGAAATTTGAATAGAAGGGAGGTAAAACAGGCTAGATAGGTGTAGAAGCTCTATACAGAGTCACGGGTTGGTGTGGATGAGAAAGATATTTGTATATTTATAGACTGAAGGAGGGCTTAGAAAACTTTTTCTTAAAGGACCAGATAGTAAATATTTTAGACTCAGACCACAAGGTTTCTATCACAACTGTTCAACCAAAAAAGCAGCCAAAAACAGTATGTAAACGAATGGGTATAGCTGTGTTCCTATAAAACTTTACTGACAAAAAAATGTGCCAGCAGGCTCTCTGGCCAGAGTTTGCTGGCCCCTAAGTGACCCCAGGCAGACAGAGGGGATGAGATCCAGGGCCAAATAATGACCTTAAATAAAAAAGAGACTAGAGACACACACCTGTCAACAGAAGATGGATTAACATTAACTAAAAACTTGAGCACTTAGTTAAAATATCAATTAAATCTTTTAGAATTTTGAAGTCACATTTCTTCTAAAATGGAACCCAATTGTTTCTAAGATGGTTTTTTATAACACCCTAAAGCAAAAAAAAAACTTACTTAGCTGTGCTAAAATGATTTGGATATTTTAAATTCTCAATCACAATCAATCTGATATTAACTCTTAGAAATTCAGAAATACCACTAATGATCACAGCAAGGACCTCACCATTTCATGCTGCCTAAACCTGCTAAAACACAGACTCTCCACTGCCTGTTCGAAAAGGAAGGTCTTATTTAAAAAGAAGGATCACATTGTCTTTTTTCAATCCCAGATCTACAAATATTTTGCTTGAAAAGCTGATTGTGGAAACCTGGATTATTTCCATAACTAAAGCAATGTGATTAAGTTCCTACAGGCTTTAGATAATCATCCAAACTTTTTGATTGTTATAATCAGGTCAGAGTTTCAATCAATGAGGCTATCCTAACGCTATTGACTAAATAAAGAATCTGGACAAGATGGCACCTAAAAACAAGAACTCCGTTATTCTGAGCAAAAGCCTTAAGACAGTTCTTTTGCTATGGTTCAAACAATGTGACAACAAGGGACTAGCATGATGTAGATATTTACATACTAATGCATAATGGGCAGGGGCATTTTGGGGGGGCAAATCAGGGTGATTCTGTACATTATTTCATTTTCTAATACATGCAATGGTCTTTCACTGAGACAGATGCACCCTTATTATAGTTAGGCTATTTGGGCTTCAATAGCATTTCTGAACCAGTTAAAATTTGCTAGGTAAGTTATTTTGCCAACTTAAATCATGTGAGTAGCATTATTTATTCCTCCTAAAAACATGTGCAGCAAGGCAACTTTCTCCTCTGTGAAAAAAAAAAAGAAAAGAAAAAGTGAAAACAGGCTTCGTAACAGTGGTAACAGTTCCCTTGGCCCACCCACCATCACATTGATAAGAATATCTTATTTGGGGCAGAGGAGAAGGGTGGTGGCTATTTGGTGCCAGAGATCAGTGATGCTAGAGTTTAAAAAAAAAAAAATCTAGTGCCTGTCAGGGGAGACATTGAAGACATTAACTCCTCTCTAAGACTGTTCTGCTGAATGGCTGTGGGGAAAAGCTGTAGGCAGCCTTTCTCTGCTGCAGAGAGAAGAAAAACGGAAATGGAAGAAAAATGTGTTAGGAAGCAAAGAGGTGAGAGAGGTGGGAGGAGCAGGCAGGCAACAAATAAATCTTTTGGTAGTGTTTTGGATTGATAGATAGCACTTCACTCTAAAGCATTTCTCAAAATCCCACACACGCTGTTTCACCAAAGAAATTATACCCTTTAGGAATAGGGGAAAAGCAGGGGGGAAAAAAACAGAAAAGAGCCTAATGGCAAAAAAGGAAAGGGGGCACTTTGGACCAATTTCTGTTAGTCATAACAACATTATGCCTGCAAAGTCCAGGTAAAGGTTTATTTTTTTACAGTCTTGTTCTTCCCGCACTCCATTTGGTTGGTTGAAAGGTTGAGTCACAGCCCTGCTGGGAAGAGAATATGTCCCAGGAAACCACACTATAATAAACTTTACAGCCAGTCCACTAAATCACATCCTAGGGAAACCTTGACTCCACTAAAGCTATACTTCCTAGTGCTCCGAATCCAAATCTGGCTTCAAGCATCCATTTTATGGTGAATTATCTCCCAAAAATTCAGTGCAAAACCAGGTGCCCCGAAGCCGTTGAGACATTTTAAAAGTTCATGTTCCAAAGGGAAGAGATACCAAAATCACAGCTCAAAATGAAAACCTCCACTGCAACCAAAATTGCTTGTTCACTCCCACCCACAAAACTTCATATAACATCTCTAGATGCCACTCCATAATTTTTTATACCTAATAGCTTTCATTTTTAAGCCATTTATATTATACCCAAATGCTTTTATATAGCATCACATTTATATACTTTATCTCTTTCAAGAGTTGCTACACTTGTGTGTGATCTATATTTTGCAGGCTATTCAAGTACATAACTACAAAACAAAATGTTTCTATTCCTCTCCCACTAGTTCTTTGAGAACTCAAGCATCCTATAAATCCTTTGGAAAATGTTCTAGGAAACAGCATAGAATTTTTCACATGTAAACCAAGAAGTAATTATTTCTCTTGGCTACCATCATTTTCTTGCCTTCCTGCTTTAGGTTTCTATTGTTTATGCGTTTTGTAACCAACATCAAAAGTGGTAGCTATGCTGCCTTGTGACCACTGTCATAGCTTATGTCAGCCATAAACACTGCTCTTTCAGTTACTCTTGCAGGCATCAAAAATGATGTCAATGTTCATATGATTTCTGATGTCTAACACTAGAGCTCCTCCAGTGACTCTGCCACTGTTAGAATCCACACTACTGTCCCAGTGTCACAAATACCTTTGTTAACTGCCACCAATTCAGTAACCATTTGCAGCCAAAACTGCTGCCAGTGAAGGAATTAATACTACCACTCCTCTGAGGTCAGATGTTGATTTTATTACAGTTCTGGTGATAGCACCAATGAAAAGCTTCTTTTTAACCTTGATCAGTTTTTCATTGTAACTCTGTTGTGGTAGAAGCAAAACCAGTCTCCTCAGTGGTGGACTGATGGACGGTAGCAACATCAACCTAGTTGTTCCAGCAAAATTCTAGGACACATCCTTGAGAACATTTTTCCTCACCTCCACATCAAAGCATCATTAAGGTTACTGACTACTTCCAAATTATATCCAGAATCCAACTACTTCCCTCTATTTCTATCCCTATTACTCTCATCCAAGTCATGGTTATCTTCAGTCTGGACTTTGCAATCTTTTTGAATTGGTCTCCTTGTTTCCACTCTTGCTTTCCTTCAATCCATTCTCTACATCAGTGAGATAATTTCATAAATATTTCTTCCTTGTTTAGAACCCTTAGATGTTTCCCTGCCTTACTCTAGCTTATGAAGCCCTACGTGATGTGCCCCTACTAACCTCTCTCACCCCACCTCACACCATTCTTAACTTCCCCAATATGTCTTCAATCACTTTGGCCTTTACTCTGTTTCCCAGATACACCTAAAATATCTCTGCCCAATTTAGGCTTGCTGCAGGCAGGAATCCTACAACAGGAAAGGGAGGCACGGGCAGGCTGTTTCTTTGTTCATTAACTCCTCATCCCCCATAACCATTCCTTCCATTCTCCCCCCATAGCTGTAGCTTCCAGATATTTCTATGGATGTGGAGGAAAGGAAACAAAAATGAATAAATAAAGAGAACAAATCTTCCAAGACTGGTACCAATGTCATGTGGCATTGTCTTCTACTGGCCCTACTTAAGTTACCTTAAGTTCTCTCTCTCCTGGACATTTCTAGGGAGTCTTCAGAATCACAGCCACCTCTATTCCTGGAAATATCTCCCCTACAGTTCCCTGACGTAAGTATTCATCCTCCCTCTAGACAGGAAGGAGTTCCCCTTTAGTCCATAGTTTTGGGCAGTAGACCTCCACTCAAACTCCTTCTAACTGGGGTGTCATATATCCCTCAAAAGTCCCTTTCCTCCCCTAGATGGATCAGGGATCAGACTCTGGGTAGCCATCTTGTGTCTCAAGATGCGTGCTCTCTAACTGTCTCTGTATGTGTATGTGTATGTGTATGTGTATGTGTATGTGTATGTGTACGTGTATGTGTATGTGTGTCTGTCATATACATACACACATACACACACACACACACACATGCACCCAGATGAGGCTAGCCATGGTTCTTACCACTTTATAAGCCCTATTCTGGGGGTCTAGCGCCTCACTTTGAAATGTGAGGGTACTTGGAACTTCTTCTTACGGGCTCAGCCAAAACTAATTTTACATGTTTTTGCACTCTTATCAAACTATACAGATTCTATTAGTGTCAGTTCTTCTTCCACAAAACATTTTCCTCATAGGATTAGTATGTCACTCTTGATAGCATCAGTTTAGTCAATGAGAAGAATAGACAATATTCAGAGTAAGTCTGTATTGAGCCTTATGTACATAGTCCAGAATACATAATCCAGACAGGAATAGTCACCCACATGGCAAGTCTAAATAAATGAAGTGGCAGAAAGGAATGTTGATTTGGTTCTTTCGGCAAATAATGTTAATCTATTTGTCCATAAAGAAAAGTATAAACCTATACTTTTCATAAAAATTTCAACATTCTTGTTTTCAGGATTTATTATACACCTGAGTGGAGCAGAGACTTGATATCAGCATTAAGAAAAAATGAAGGATGAACTGTTAAAGACACTCAATGCACCATTTTCCTAGCCCCTGGATTACTCATTGATGGCATTTGTAATCATACATAAACCTAACAAAACCCATCTGCAGAGGGACTCTCCAAATTCCCAAATACGCACCTCCAGAAGGACTCAGAGTGCCCCAGTAACATTGTCCCATATTGCCCTTCAACATTTCTGAGGGTTAGCCAGGAAAGCATTAAGTTTTTAGTGTCCAAATTAATACCAGATTATAGTCGCACAGACATTATTCTTGCTGATTTATGATGCCATATAACACAGTAAATGAGACTGTTCCTTCTCCTTGGGCCAGTTGAAAACTCTTAATTCTTTACTTCTCATGACACATCTTTCTGGGATGGAAAAGGTGGTAAAAGCAAAAAAAAAAAAAAAAAAAAAAAGAGCACCTGATAAGTGTTCTTGATGGAAATCCCAGGTCTTCTCCTTCTTCCCCAAACCAGCCTTGATTGCTATTATGAAGAAAAGCCAGAATTGCAAATACAACAAAAATCTTCACAAAGAGGAACTAGCTCACAAATTAGAATCAAGCCACAAGGTCATCTACTCCCTACAAGAAAGAGAAAATCTGCAGAAAAAAAAATTATATCTGCCATTAAAGAAAAAACTGATAGAACATAAATCAATAAAATTTCAAAATAATCACTTATTGTTGATAGAATAACTTCCTTGCTTATGGCTATGTAGTCTTACTAGCTATGCAGCTAGGCCTCCTCAAATGTGAAGTAAGCTAAGTATCATTTACCATTTATGATTTTTTTTTAAATTTGAATGATTCCAGATAGAATAATTTGAGATTAGATTTTAGAATGCATATGGATCTTATAGGCCAGAAAATTTTACTTATTTGGTCAGAAGATTTTTTAACCTACTTTCAAGCAGGGTTTAACCTATCCTTCTAGTTCAGAGACACTACATGAATGTCTCTTATTTAGAATAGTGACAAAGGGAGCTTTATAACTTCACTTTATAATTCCTATAGTTATTTTACATCTGAGCCATGGGCTCTAAATATAGACCTATATATTAGACTTTAGAGGCTATAAGATCCTATTGTGTAAGACTTTGTTGATTCAGTTTATATCTTAAGAAAATGGACAGAAGCATGCTTAGTGCTTCTTGCTTTTGGCCACAGAAATGACAACCTTATCTATATATATATAATTTTTATATAAAACACTAATATCATTCCTCATGGGTAAAAGACATTTGTTTTTTGGGGTCTGATATCTTTTCTAGAATAAGATAAGAGGAAAAAAGAGAACTCAATGCTTCAGATTAATTTGTTGAATAACTTTTAGCTGTGTACAGCCCTGGAAGCTGACCCCTTCACCTGACATGTTCAGAATGTCATTGCAAATTACTGTGCCTGTGAATCGGAATCTGGTTGCTGAGCATGTTCTAGTCTGCAGGCTGTGGAGCTCTAAAGAGATCAGCCACAAAGCCATTGATTAGGAAGAAGTTCCTGGAGGACAGACAGCTAAGCCTTTGTTATCTTGTTAATGAGCATTTTCATGTGGAGTGACTGCAGAGCCTGCAACAATGAGTGTAAGCCCCAGTAAGTTGTCAAACAGTGAGCCCACATGGGTGAATTCACCCTGTTTACCTTTCTTAATATAAAGCCAGAGGAGGGCCAGGCAACAGTCATAAATTCAAATAAGCTTTTAAAGCCTTCTCAATTGATCACTACATAAAAAGACATAGAGCAATTGTATAATCACCTCACATACAGGTAACTAAATATATTGCCCTTTGCAAATTCACTGATGTAAAACTCATAGCTTTTTCTCCCCCAGCTAATGGTTGAGAGCAGCTTTATATTGCTTTCTTGCAAACTTAATACCTAGCAAATAAATGACAGTCCTGGAAGCAGCAACTTGGGTCAGACAGTAATATATATACAATGCAATCTGTTTGTGGAAAAATAACTGTTACAAGTGAAGCAGAATTAAAGCCTTGGTTACACTTCAGTCTTTAAATGTATATAAAATTTTTCTGTGAAGGTCAAAAAAGATAAGATTTTCCCCTTAATTACTTGTCCTCTTATGTTGTATTATAACATATAAACTTGAACCACAAGGTGGTATAAATTGGGGCAATGATATGGAATATTTGTGAATTCATGAAATATTAATTAACAAACATCTGAATCTACATAGAAACTACCTTATTACAGTATGGCAATTTGGAACAAAAATAGTCATCCTATCTAAATGAGAAAGTAAGTGGACACCGGGCACTCCAAAGCCTAGCATTGTCTGTGATAACTTGAGCTGATATAAAGTTGACTCCAAAATCAATGAATACAACTTTTACAGTCCCAGAAACAATATTATTATTTCTTTCTTTCACTGAAGTAATTTTGAAAAACAAAAACATGATTCCAACTTCAATGACATTTCCAAATGCATGCATTTCCTCCTATGACCGTCAACAGGGAAACAGGTATCCTCAGAAATCTCATGAGCATTACAGGTTTCTTTTGGTTCAGATGCTCAATCTTTTCAATGACTGTGGGCTTGCAACAGCTGCGATTCCATCTTGACTATATTATTCAGGTCTAATAGAATGGCTAGGAACAAAATTTTAGTCCTTCTATCTTAGCATATTTCAAATGAATAGTAATATATTTGATTTCTAAGATATATGGCCAGTTGCTAAAGAACTGTAGTTATATTTGCATAAAAGTCATAAAAGCTGTAACTTTTAATGATCTGATAGTTCCACAGTAGACTAAGACTTCAAAGATTGTCCTTCTTCTGCCCCCTTGAAAGTCATATAAGGTGGATTCAGTTTGATTTTTATAGACATCAGATGCACATTCAATAGATTATCCCATAAGCAGAAGCACAGTTTGTGACTAGTCAGCATGGCTACAATTAGGGGCTAAGACTGGGTTGCAGTGGATGGTGAGGACCAATACACTAGCTGAAGTGAGCCTTGCTAGTGGAAGTGTGGTCCCAGAACCAATGGCATCAGGAGCTCCTGGAAACTTGTTAGAAATACAGAATCTTGGGCTCTAATCCAGACCTACTGAATCAGAATCTAATTTTAACAAGACGGCAAGGTGATTTGTGTGCCTAAGGTTTGAGAAGCCCTGGGCTAGTGCTGAAAAAACCCATGCTGTGTATTCAATTGAGGATCACATAGTGAAAAAGGAGGGAGGGAAGCCAAAGACAAGGACAGGGACACCAGCTGCAAAAACAAACAAACCAAAGGCCAAAGAAGCATGTGTGAGGTCATACACAGGATAGGATGCAGGGTATAAAACAAGATGAGTAGCAGATTAAAAAAGGTTGGGGTAGAATCAGGCGTATGTTTCAAGTGGACAATCTGAAAATACCAGAAGGATTCCACAATTACTGTTTCAGGTAGATAGTTCAACCTATTTCTTGTTTTGGAAACCAGCAGAATTGATATAATGGGTGATAACTATAACTTGTTACCATCTATATATCCAAGACCTTCATTCTTTACCACTTTGGAATCCCTGAACAGAAATCATTTGGTTGGCTGGTTTTTCACTGAACCTTAAAATTTTCCTTCTGTTAAATACAATATTTTTTTAAAAAAATATTCTGTGTTAACGAAGTTAGATTGTGCAGGGAAGAGCGGTTTTGACCACAGATTTTTCTGCTGATGAAACAGCTCCTGAGCTGGTAAGTTCAGAGGCTAAGTAATCTGGTAAGCAGCACAAGAAATATCAGAATACCAGAACAACAAGGGTCATCACTGATAAATTCTCACAATCTTATGAGTTAAATCTTAGTACCCCCCCATTTTACCCATTTTAGAGGTGAAGAAGCTAAGGCTCCAAAGGGCTACTTTGTTCAAAATTTGACAGAACTAGGACAGTGTCCAATACTTGTGTTCTTAGCCACTATACTGAACTAAAAGTAGAAAACAAGAAAAGCCCCCACTGTCACCTTAGATATCTCCTATGTGTCACACAGGGTAGGAAAATTAGTAATCTTTTGAGTGACCAGAAAACTCACAACACAACACTGGACACCACAGCAGTAACATAATGAAGAACCTTAGCAAATTTCTAAACTTCAGGTTCAAAACGTTATATTTCAAGTAAGATGCTAAAAGCTTTTGAAATATAGAAATCCTGTGTGTATGTATGTATGGATGTAGGAAATGGTATCATTGATTATAAAATGTAAACTCATGAGATCCACAGCCCTGTTGACCACGCTCCACAATGTATCCATAAAGTCTGCTCATCCTTGTGCCTGACACACAGCAGAACAGCAGGCTCCCAATAGCCCTTTATTGAATAATTATGATACTGATGATTGTTAGCACTGAAAGCTGAACTCAGAGACTTCTAGCAAAGACATTTGCTTTTATGTTTGCCGTTAATTTTTCTAAAACCTAGATGTTAATTCCTGGCTATGAAAATATCAAAGGATTTTGTTATTTCTTCACATAAAAAATAAATGTGATTCATGTACCCCAGAACTTAAAATAAAAGTTGAAGAAAAAAATATTGTGATAAACACATGAAAACTGCAAGCTCACCAGAAAAGTGAATATCAAATTCAAGAAAGAACTGGCAGCCAAATTTGTCCATATTTGGGGACCAATACACAATTGAAATTCTCCCCCAAGGAGAAATTAGACACAGCTTGTAAGCTATTACAGGAAATTGCTGCCATAGCTTCTCCAATTACCTATTAAGCATCAGTCATTTAACAATCCAAAAATGCCACCAAATTTACACTAATACCAAATGATGTAAATTATGTTTTAGACACAATTAAATATTTTAACTTCATTATTTTGTTCTTGTCTAAAAAGTGAATATTTCACCTCCTCAAATTAATGCAAATAACTTTATTCCCAATACATGGATGTCCTATCTCTATTAACCATTATTTGCATGCCATTACATTCTCTGTTCTACAAGTCTAAAGGACAAAGTGAAATTACAAGAGACACACTAATATCACACAATTTGAGGAAATTATTTCCCCTGAGTTCAGTTTTCTAAACAACACAGGAAACTCTGGTGCTCTGAATGACCACTATGAATCATTTATTGTAAGTGTCACAGTCAAAAGAGGAAATTCAATTATGTTCAGTTTATTTTACTAAGTTAGTCAAGTGGATGCAATTTTTTTATTTCCATCAACATAAAAATATTATAAGCTTGAGCACCAATTAATCAGAAAATTCAGTGAACCCTAAACCCCTATTCCCTAAGATTTTTATTAAGCTTCTATAAAAACTCAGAAATTACACAAGAAAGAAGAAAATTAGATTAAATGGCTCAATACTTTGGTAACAATTTTACTATACTATACTAGTAAAGAGCTTTTTTAACTAACTTATCAAAATCTATTTTAAGAATTTAACTATTAGTGCCCAAGATCAGAATTTATTTTGCCTTCTAAATCTCAATATGCATATTTTGAATGATAGGAAGTCACTTCCTTCTTACTTTCATATATTAAAGACAGAATGCCAAGATGTTTCTTCATAAAGATGCATGTGTTTACAAATGGTCTAATGTGGTTGGCTTCCAAAGCTGATTAGGATAGAGTTTCTCACACAATTTTCAGTTTACAGGCTCATTTCTTCAAGATGTTTTTGCTACCCAATATTCCAACTGTTTGTCTGCAAAAGCTGTGGTAAGATTTTAAAACTTAAGTGAGGAAACCACATTCTCTTTACTAATTAAAATGAAACACACTAGGCTCTTGACATTTAGATTAGTTCCTGGAATTTTCACTATCCTTACACTTCAAAATATCATTATAGAGAAGCACAAGTCTGCATAGTATATCTAAGTAAGAGGAGAGTTCTAAGTAGCCAGCTTGCCCAGTCACGGGCTAACAGCTGACTTTCCCCAAGCACTACACCAGCCTCAAAGAGCACATGAGTCAAGTTCATGTCTCAGCAAAATAAAATTATGTTCTGTTATATATTAAGAGCTTAATTATGAAAAAATTAAAATTAAATTTTAATGTCCCAATGTCAAGATTATAATATACATAGAATGATCTCCAAAGGAAATACAGCAGATGCAAATTCAATGATCAACTACTATCCCCAAAGTGACTGGGTAGTAATTAAAAGGATGTCAACCAATCTGTCTAGAGTTCTTCTTAATGCAATACTCTAAAAAAGGAAGTCAAGACTACAGCTTTAGGTAGCTCACAAGTTCTACTGGTGGGGTAAACAACATAGTTTATTTTAGTTTGGCAGAGAGATCATCTCAAAAATAATATTTTTCTAGGGAAAACCAATTCAAAAATTCTCACTTAAGAAGGGACTAATCTGATACTCAACTCAAAAACATATATCAACATGTATCCTGCTATTCAAAAAAAAGTTTTTCTCATGATCACTGATTTTAATAAGATATAAACAATAAACTAAAAGCTTTGAAAACATCTAATTCTGGTAATGATAAGTAATTTGAGCCAACTCTCCAGTTGGGAATACCTAAAGAAACCGGACAAAATTTTTTAAGGCTGCTTGAAGGCATTAAAGACAACGAAAACTTTTTGGGTTTTGTTTGTTTGTTTGTTTGTTTGTTTTTGAGAGGAAGTCTCGCTCTATCGCCCAGGCTAGAGTGCAGTGGCGCGATCTCGGCTCACTGCAAGCTCCACCTCACCGGTTCATGCCATTCTCCTGCCTCAGCCTCCCAAGTAGCTGGGACTACAGGCGCCTGCCACCACGCCTGGCTAATTTTTTGTATTTTTTAGTAGAGACGGGGTTTCATCGTGTTAGCCAGGATGGTCTCAATCTCCTGACCTCGTGATCCGCCCGCCTCGGCCTCCCAAAGTGCTGGGACTACAGGTGTGAGCCACCGCACCTGGTCCAACGAAAACTTTTTAAAACACAAACTGAAGAAGTACAGGGACCCAGGAAGGTGAGTCTATGTTTGGTGCTAATTTCCCCCTGAGGGCACTGAATGATTGTAGAAGGAGTAGCTGAGAGACCAAGGGACTGAGCAAAGCTTTGGATGGTCTCTTGGGAATAAGTCAGCAGTGATTGAAGTCCAGGATCAGATCCATGAAGTGGGATCTCTTAGTGAACTCACCTCACTATGGATTTTGACTCTAAAGGGCTAGAATCTAGGAATAAAGGTAAATTAGTAATGGAAATAGGTCTCATAAGAACTGTAGCCTAACTTTGAATCTTACCAGTTCCTGAAACTGTATTAAGGTGATCTCTGAGAGCAAGTGGTTCCAAACCTTCAGAGTGTTAGATCTCCAGGCAGAAATAAATACAAATTCTCTCAAAAGGAAGATGTCATCATTCTAAGCATTGAATTATTTCTTCATACAATATTACAAACATAATGTCAGCCTCAAAATAAAAATTATCTTGTACATATGTGGAGCCATGTGTATGGTAGAAAATCAGCAGGAATAAAATACAAGAGAAACACAACTTTACAGTCTACAGATTAAGGCACTGTCCTCCATAGGCTTTAAAACACGTGTCTTCACATAAAGAGATAAAAGATAAGACTGAGAATTTCAGTAAAGAACTAGAAAACATAAAAAACAAGTGGAAATTCTAGACAAGAAATAATACAATAAAATAGCCACAATTAACTTAACAGATCAATGTGCCTGCAGATTAGAAAGAACTGAAGAATCAGTGAACTTAAATATAAGACAAATAATATATTTAAAGCTAAACGCAAAGAGACAACATAGAGAAAGGATAAAAGACATAAAAGACAATGAAAAGATCTACCCGTGCAACTGAAATTTAAGGGGAAAAAACACATGAATGAATGGAGCAAAGCAATATTTGAAAAGATAGTATCACAGGGCCAGGCGTGGTGGCTCATGCCTGTAATCCCAGCACTTTGGGAGGCCGAGACAGGCGGATCATGAGGTCAGTAGTTCAAGACCAACCTGGCCAACATAGTGAAACCCCATCTCTACGAAAAATACAAAAATTAGCGGGGCATGGTGGCAGGCGCCTGTAGTCCCAGCTACTTGGGAGTCTGAGGCAAGAGAATCACTTGAACCTAGGAGGCGGAGGTTGCAGTGAGCCGAGATTGCGCCACTGCACTCCAGCCTGGACACGGTGAGACTCTGTCTCAAAAAAAAAAAAAAGAAAAAAGAAAAGATAATATCACAATAGACAATGGAGCAGGGACCCACTAACACACACTTATTTATTTACAGTCAATTTATAATAAAATAGCTTTGCAGACAGTGGGAATAGATGCAGGCAGTGCTCAGCCAATCAGATATTTTGTTTTTGTTTTTGTTTTTTATTATTATACTTTAAGTTCTAGTGTGTCCGGAATTGGTAGGTTCTTGGTCTCACTGACTTCAAGAATGAAGCCGCGGACCCTCGCAGTGAGTGTTACAGCTCATAAAGGCAGTGCAGACCCAAAGAGTGAGCAGAGCAAGATTTATTGCAAAGAGCCAAAGAACAAAGCTTCCACAGTCAGGAATGGGACCCAAGCAGGTTGCCACTGCTGGCTCCGGCAGTGTGCTTTTATTCCCTTATCTGGCCCCACCCACATCCTGCTGATTGGTCCATTTTACAGAGAGCTGATTGGTCTGTTTTACAGGGAGCTGATTGGTCCGTTTTGACAGGGTGCTGACTGGTGCCTTTACAATCCCTGAGCTAGACACAAAAGTTCTCCAAGTCCCCACTAGATTAGCTAGACACAGAGCACTGGGCCCACAGTGCCCACGCCCACCCAAAACTCTGCAAGCGTGGCGCACAGCCCCGGTTCCCACCCATGCCACTGCATCCACACCTCCTCGCAAGCAGAGGGAGCCGGCTCCGGCCTCAGCCAGCCCAGAGAGGGGCTCCCACAGTACAGCGGTGGGCTGAAGGGCTCCTCAAGCACAGCCAGAGTGGGCATTGAGGCCGAGGAGGCACCAAGAGTGAGCGAGGGCTGCCAGCATGCTGTCACCTCTCACTAGGGTACATGTGCACAACATGCAGATTTGTTACATATGTATACATGTGCCATGTTGGTGTGCTGCACCCATTAACTCGTCATTTACATTAGGTATTTCTCTTAATGCTATCCTTCCCCCCTCTCCCCACCCCATGACAGGCCCCAGTGTGTGATGTTACCCGCCCTGTGTCCAAGTGTTCTCAATGTTCAATTCCCACCTAAGAGTGAGAACATGCGGTGTTTGGTTTTCTGTCCTTGTGATAGTTTGCTCAGAATGATGGTTTCCAGCTTCATCCATGTCCCTACAAAGGACATGAACTCATCCTTTTTTATGGCTAAATAGTATTCCATGGTGTATATGTGCCACATTTTCTTAATCCAGTCTATCAATGATGGACATTGGGTTGGTTCCAAGTCTTTGCTATTGTGAATAGTGCCGCAATAAACATACGTGTGCATGTGTCTTTATAGTAGCATGATTTACAATCCTTTGGGTATATACCCAGTAATGGGATGGCTGGGTCAAATGGTATTTCTAGTTCTAGATCCTTGAGAAATCGCCACACTGTCTTTCACAATGGTTGAACTAGTTTACACTCCCACCAACAGTGTAAAAGTGTTCCTATTTCTCCACATCCTCTCCAGCACCTGTTGTTTCCTGACTTTTAATGATCACCATTCTAACTGGTGTGAGATGGTATCTCATTGCGGTTTTGATTTGCATTTCTCTAATGACCAGAGATGATGAGCATTTTTTCATGTGTCTGTTGTCAGCAAATCAGATATTTATACCATAAGGAAAAAAAAGAGATGACCTCCATTATATACTTGACACAAAATAAACTATGGTTACATTATGAATATAAATTATATGCTAAAATAACAAAACTCATAAATATAGAATAATATATTCATTATTTCAGGGAAGATGAAAACACACAAAGCAACAACTATAAGGGGAAAAGGGGAAAAGATTAATAGATTTGAAACATCATTCATCGAAAAACATACTTATTTTCTTACAGATTGAGGTTTCCTTTTATTGCTAGCTGTCAGCTAGAGATCACTTGAGAGTTCATAGAGGCTGCCCAAAGTTCCTTACCACATGACGATGTCTATAGGCCCTCTTGAAACATGACACCATACTTCTTGAAAGCCAACAAGAGTGCCTTGTTCCAGTCTATTCAGATAGAATCTGATATAACAATCATGAAGGTGACATCCTCTCACCTTTGCTATATAAAGTAATCTAATCAAGAGAGTGACTTTTCCTCACATTTGCCACATTCCATTGATAAGAAGTCACAGGTTCTGCTCACACTGAAAGGAAGAAAATCACACAAAGGCATGGACCCCAGGAAGTGGAATTTATTGGGGCTCATTCTAGAATCTGTTGATTAAACTAGTGGGGAAAATATGTTTATAATTGCAACTAAAGCTGAACTCATGCCATCTGACCAGCAATTCTACTCCCGCGCAAATAACAAAAATGCATGCACACAAACACACAAAAGGCAGGTATAAGAATGTTCATACAGCAAAACAGGAAACAACCCAAAGGCCTAGCAAATGAAATTGACAAGTAAATTGTGATATTCACATAAATGCTACACAGCAGTGAAAATGAACACAGTAACATAGATAAATCTCACAAACTTTTCATGTTGAGATGACCCAGATACAAAAGAATACATACTATATGGTCTATTTTTATAAAGTTTTTAAAAAATTACATTTAGGAATGCCAGCTTGGAAGGTAAGATAATAAAACCAAGAAGAGTTTGCCATAAAATTCAAGAAAAGGGTGACCATCAGGGATATGATTGCTAGTGTTTGTGACTGGGTCTATGAAGGGCCCTGGAGTATTATCTATCATGTTTTGCTGTATTTGATGTTTACTCAAGGTTTTCTTTGCTATAGAGCATTAAGCTGTACATCCTTAGTTTGTGCACTATTATATATATTATATTATATATTATATTATATTGCATATTATATATTGTATTATATATTATATAATATATTATATATTACATATTATATAATGAGTAGACTATATATTATTTATATATAATATTTATACATATTATATAAATTATATATGTATATATAATTATATAAAAACATTATATATAATAATTATATATAACATATATATGATAATTACATATATATTATATTATAATTACATATATATGATAATTACATATATAATATATTATATTATAATTACATATATTATATATTATATTATAATTATATATTATGTAATAATTATATATATTATATAGTAATTATATATTATATATCATATTATAATTATATATTATATATACACGTACATAAATATACATACATGTTATATTTCACAAGTTTTAAAAAAGCTTGAAAGAACCATATTATAGAAAATATTTTATAATGTCCAAACATGAATATAAGCCTCATTAGAGAAGTGCTTTTTCTGTTTTGACCACCACAATATTCTGTGGACCTAGAACAATGTTTCTTATGATAAATAGTATTGAGTAAGTGTATGCATCAAAGAATAAATTAATCCAATATCTGTGATCTAGCCAGTTCCAACATTTTGTAGGTTTGCCACATTAAGCAAGTTTCTACTCTTTATGTATTTCATCTTCACGTATAAACTCAGGCCAGTATCTAGTGTATAAATTTGCCATTTAAATCTTCTGAGGCATGTTTTTTAAATGGAAAAAATTATTATTGACAGAAATATTCACAAAGCAACCCCTCAATTAAGCAGAATGATTGAAGAATAAAGAAAATCTTCCTTGTTTAATACTGGTCTTTATAATATTCAATAATGTATTCAATACTTTCTTGCCTTGTAGGGAGAATGTGCTAAACAGAATGTTTTACGATCAAGAATGACAAAGTACTTTTGTCAGTATATTAATTTTCTATTGCTTCAAAACAAACTACCACAAACTTGTAGCATATACCACCATAAATGTACTAGCTCACAGTTCTGTAGGTCAGAAGTCTGATGTAGCCCGACTGGATTCTCAGCTAAGGACTCACAAGGTTAAAACCAATGTGTTAGACAAGGTTTTTTGCCTGAAGTTATACGACAAAGTCTATTTTTAAGCTTATTCTCATTTTTTGACAGAATTTAATTCCTTGGCTTTGTAAGACTGAGGTCCCTGTTTCCTTGCTGGCTATCAGTCAGAGCTGCTCTCAGAGAAGGCCCATGTTCCTTGCCTTGTGGTACCCACCATCTTCAAGTCAGTAATGGAGCATCAAATTCTTCTCATGCTTTGAATCTCTGACTTTTTCTTCTGCCACTAGCCAGAGAAAACTCTCTGCTTTTAAATGTGTTATGTGATTCCCTTCGGTTCTTATTTCCTTTCTTGTTCAGGCCACTAGATAAATCTCCTTATCTTAGCATCAACTATTCCATTAACATAATCTTTTATTTTTACCACCAAAGTAAAAATCCAATTCATCATTCCAGAGATTTTTGCAAAGTATGAACATCAGTCAGGGGAGGGGATGGGAAATCTTGGGGGTCATCTTAGAATCCTGCCTCCCACAGGTGTGCTTATCAATGATTACCACATATTAACTAAATAAGCCAAGGAAGACTGAATGACTAAGTACTCTCAAGGTGTTTAGTAAGCACTGCTTTAAGGAAAAAATAAACAAAACCAAACATTTGTATCAACTTAGTTTCTTATGCTTTTGGTGGCTCTACTACAGTGATTTTCAAACTTATGAAAGTTATGACTCACTAACAGGTTTTTACAACCTATTAGTGAGTCATAAAATCAATTTAATGGATTGAAACCAACCTATTTTTAAGTTAAAATAGTAAAAGAGAAGGAAAAATAACTATCACAGAGCAACTGGATGAGTGTGATCATGAGTTTATTTGAAATGTTGAAATCAATCTAAAAAATGTCTCCACTTGGGAGAAACCCTCTATAATCATGTTCTTTTCACTTATATGTATATGCATCTATCTAAGGGGACATACCTAGTGTTCAGAAAACTTTGAAAGCCACTAATCTAGATCATAACTCTATCACTGATGTGCAAAGCCTTTAATCAGTATTATCCTTAGTGTCATGTCTAACATTCATTTGCACTATGCTAGAACGTACATTCAAGAGCTCTAAAATTCTGTGTTCTTCCAGCATTAATTTATCCTAGAAAAAGAAAACGAGCAATTCATTATTCTTTCTTACATAATTTTTGTATCTTCAGTTTCCAGTTGTTTTTGCATCAGTCAGCAGTTTTCAAGGCTTGCCTCTATCTGGGTCTCTGAAAATACACTGAGTTCAACTGGTCTTTAAGTTAACAAGCATATTTTATTACAGCAACGGTAACATGTTTCCATATCATTTTTACATTGTCTGAAGGACATTTGTTATTAGTGGTAGGTCCTTGGGAGACAAGCATTCCCACGGGGCCTGTCTGTCCCTAGAAATCTTAGTAGCAGCCTAATTCCCCACACCACCATATTCAAGGTATTGACAGTTACTGAGTGCTTCCCCATAGATCAGCACGGGGCTCAGCCCTGGAGATTCACAGATGAATAAAACTAGTCTCCGTGTTCAAGGTATTTATACATCTCCAACCTTGGAATGTACTTTAAAAAAATTCTGTTTCTTACTGTGCAAACTATTTGCTTTCCTCTGAGATTTACTCATGTCTCATGGAATATGCTGTCTTCGGCTTTATTCCCCTGTAGGGTAAATTTGGGTTTTAAGCAAATGATCAAGATATTTTCATCTACAAAGTCTCCCAATTTGCATTGCCAGTCATCCTACAGTACATATTGTAAAACTCAATAAATACCACCATTGTTTTCCAAAATATAATATTAACAAGTAACTAATCAAATTTCTAATGTGTGAGGGTATACTTTATCTTATCATCTTCAGGTTTTGGTGTTATTTGAAATCTTGAAATCAGACCAGAAAATGTCTAAATGGGAGGGGTAACTTCTATAATCATGTTAGTTTTTGTAAAGAAGTATTACGTATAAGCACTCTTTAAAAGAGATGACAATAAGATTAGGATGCTTTCATACTCACTGTATGTGTTTATGTGTTTCTAAGATAAAAAGAAAGGGCAATTAACACTCCTTCCTCATCCATACATTAAGGATCATGTTGGTCAATGTCTGGTTGAACAGAATGTTAAAAATTCAACTAAAAACTAAAAAATAAGAATAATGTGGTACAGGCAATAAATTGGAATCAGTTTAACACTGGGTCGCCATCAGAACTGGAATTTCAATACCGATATGCCTAACCCTAATTTATTCCACTCACTGAACCAGAGCAGCAAGTTGGAGTTTTGCTACTTGGTAAGTCAAAGAAAAATAAGACTGTTAGGAGAGTTTCCTTCCCCATAGAGCAGCTTGCCTAAGGTGTTCACACATATATCCACTGAAATTTAATCATTAAATGTAACACATTGCCAGAGAGATGAAAGGCAGCAAAGTGACACAGGTTAGTTAGATCTCAAGAGAAAGACCAACATATCAGAGCACTGTTAGAATACAAGACAGAAACGCAAAGGACAACATGAATACTGTTTTACACCAAGTAAATATTCCTATTTCCTAACTTCTACTTATTTAGCTAATCTTATATTACACAAAGAAGAATGTCAGTATACCAATTTCTTCTTATTTAATCTTCTCACATTCTCCACCACCACCCACCACACCAATATGACAGATAATGTAAATTTTTAAAATAAAGAATGGTCAAGATGGCAAAGTCTGACACAGTTGCTGGTGAGGGAAATAAGGATTGATTTTTTTTCATCTGTTCTAGTATTTTATTTTTCAAATATATAGGAAATTGATGTTACTGGCAAGATAGACAAAAAGGTCTACAGGAGACAATCTGAAGATAGACCAGGCAGTCGTGAGCGCTACATTGTCAAAAGCATGGTCACAAATTCAAATATCTACAAGGCCACTCAGGTAAAGTAAGTAAGGCAGCTGGTCTAACACATGGGACCACATGGTAGGGAGTGGTATCACCCAGGAAAGTAGCTTCTCTGCTAGGATGTGCAACACAACTCAACTTCATCAAGCCATTGCCATGAGGGAAGTGGCAAGAGTGGTGCCACGGCTTCTCATTTTTCAAAAGAATCTGAAGGTCTGGAGAACTTTTTAAACATTCTCAATGTTTGTCAAACTGAAAAGGACAAACAAAACCTATATATAAGCTATTTGAACTCCAAGGATGCTATATGTGACCTCTGTCCTGAAAGGAAATAATTACATGCATAAGGAAATGTTTGCTCTGTAATTTGGCTAATATTAACAAAAATATGACAAAGTTTTGGAACCACTATTGTTTGTCATCATCAGCTCTGAGATATGACTCAGTTTCAGCTTACCCTTTTGGTTAATGTTGATACAAGGTTACACAAAACTGCCCTGAGAGGGCTTTATCATCATTAAAGAGGATCTGAAAGCCCTCAGGTCCTGGGGTCAACTTGGATATCAGTCTTAATGCCCAAGAAGCCCCTGGAACAAAACTAGACATTATAAATTAAAAAATCCTTAGAAAAGGCCATTATTTAATTCCCTAACCTTGGTGCATATCCTTGAGAGGGGAAAATATGGTTTTAATGTCTTTCTCCCATGTAAATGTCACTCAATTGTATCAGCATTTGAAGGGTATATTTGTGTTACTTCCAGTACCTTTATGACCCAAAATGTCAACACACAGTCAATAGCTCTTTTCCTGTTGATATTTTAGCACTAATATTTTAAATGAAACCAAAGATTAATTTTTAAAACTCTCTTGCTCCCCATTAAGACAGATACGGCTTTAGGCTCTGCATTCACCTCTCAATCAATTGGATATTTTTCTTGATCACCCACTTATCCTCACATCAACCTGATCTAAGTTGCTTCTCAAATGTTTGAAGCTAATACAGACTGGAACTGAGGTCAGCTTAGCAGAGGTCCTCTGTTACCCTGCACTAAGTTGCCTTTCTTCAGCCCATCACAGAGCAATTTACTTGACATCCTCTCAACACAGTTGATTGGCAGTGAACTTTGCCTCAGTCTTTAATTGACTTTAGTCCTTGTCCTTGAAGCTGTGTAATGCCAGTGTTGCAGTTAAAACTTGCTGAGTAGTTTAATTTGACCTCATAGATGATCTGAATTTCAAGACCTTATAAACAAGATTCCTCCAACACTGGTAAATTTGGTCTGACTTTCGGCATCCTAGAAACAATTCCTATCACTTCATACTGCTTTGCCAAATGAGGCACTGACCATTTTCTAAATTTTTGTAAAATCTCTCCTTTTCTAACAGTATGGCTCCAAAAGAAAGAAATTTCAAATGTTGCTTTTCACTATACTCCAAGTGAAGACTTATAGGATATAAAATATCAAAAGTTGTAGTCAGAAGAAGGTGCAACAGATAAAGAAAAAAATGACTCCACTGAAGCTCATCAAACTCTTAGTAGCACGTATTTTCTTCTCAAAAAAATCAAATTTGCAACTATACCTCAACACCGAGCACTGCAGTCTAGCAAATTGCAATGGGCTCTCCATTTGTATTATTGACTTCCCTCTTCAAAGGTTGGGGGTGAAGTGAGGTAGGCTGTCAGTTTCTCTAGGCTGTCAGTTTCAGTAACTCTTCTCCGTTGAGTCTAAAGAGTAATAGCAGGTATATATCTCTACAGAAATAGAGATATACATGGCAAAGTGGGTGAGTTATTCACTGCAAATCACTCATTATTTTCTATAGTACAAAACATAAGAATAATGTATACTATACAGAGATACAGATACATGTGTGTATGTTATATGCAAGGGTGGAGATCTGAGGGAAGAAATATAGAAATGTATGAGAAAGGCAGAGAGACAAAGAGAGAGAAACTCCAATGAGAACACAGTTTTAGGGGAAGGAGAGAAACATGGACATAGAACTAAATAAAAATTAAATGGTGAGCTTCTTTTCAGGAAGAAGCTTGCAGGTGTGAGATAGCCAGGATTCTGTGCAATACTGGATGTACAAGGTTGACAGATTCCCAAGAGAGAGAGAAGGCTCAGCATAGACTTTCAGAAGGTAGGAAATGAAGGATCTCATTATACAGAACCAGATAGGGACTGCAGCACCAAGAAGGTGTCCTAGTGTGAAGTCTCTTCATATATAACCAGCCTCAGAGGCTCACTCACTCAAGAGTTCACTAATATAATTGATTGAAAAGGGGGAAAATGGGAGTTTACTTCTCCCTATATTTTTAAGCTAATTTTAAGATATAATATTTTTGTGAGTTATGATTTTGTTGGTCTATGCCAGGAGCATTAGTTGAGATATCTGAGTAGGGCCCTCGTTTTTGCCAAATTGAAAACTTAGATAGGGAAGAAAGATAGATCAAAATATACATTTATTACCCATGAGACTAAGTTAGAGGACACAGGTTGTTTCAAGAACCATGACTAACCTGCAAACTAAACCCAAGAATTAGGCAGATTTTACCACCTTGTTACGGGCAACACTAAACAATAGAAGCTCTCCTCTCTCCGGCTGGCATGGTGGAGAATCCTTTTTTCCTGGGCCAGCTAGCCCCGAAGAGAAAAAAAAGGTGGAACTGATGCAGAAATGAGCTTATTTTTCCCAAATTCTCAAATCAGATAAACTACCCTTATTCGTCCTAAGTAAAATGAATAAAGAGTTGGAGAAATAATGGGAACTATATTAATCAAGTTCTCCTAACATAGACATATATTGCAATGGAGTAGGGAGTCAGCATAGGCAAGTTATACTGAAAAATAACTGTCGCTCATTTTATTGTAATAGGCATTCCCACATATCACAAATAATGGAATAAAAAGATTTTGATAATATTCTTTATCCAAGCCTTTTGTTCAGTAAATGGACAAAAAGACATTACACATAGAAACAAAAGATGAGTTAATCCAGATAAAAAGAACTTCAGAAAATCACACCTGTCTTTGGACAATTAAATATTAATTTCCACCAATTCTCTCTGAAACTACAAATTTTAGAATGTAGTTCAAGGACAATCACCATTTTGCTGGGTCATAATGCCAACCAATACTCATCTGATCTGACAAGAAAAAGAAACACTGATTGTGCCCTGATATTTTCCTAATAAATTTACTAAGTTATCATTTTTTAAGAACCTAAGGAGTCATTTTCAAGTGGAAGAGCATTATTAATTAGTCATTGAGTCCTTTATTCAAACCTCAAATCTGTCACTCCCTTGCACTGTGGCATTGGATGCATCTGGGTCATTTTCCCTCATCTCTCATATTTAGGAGATGAACAAAGTAATTTCCGAGGACTCTCAGATCTAAAGGTTTATACTCTGTTACACACAATCATTTCTAATGTTACTATATATTCTAAATTATTTATGAATCAAGTTAAAATCATTTTGAAATATCTTCATATTTGATTATCTTTTTCTCAATATTTTCTCAGACTCCTATACTAGATTAAATACTGGATATCTCTTATGATATCCTATATGAATATACCCTTTACTAAATATATATATATACTACATCCTACATCCTATAGCAACATCAGACTATCAGTTTCTTAGTTAATAATCTCTTAATGGTGCTTTTCAATGGTAAGTACTTAAACTTTCTTCAACACACACCTATGAAAAATTGTAGTCTTCCTTAACAATGGTCTTATTTACACAGCAAGGGATATCAACATTGAAAATGAGCACAAAAATAAATAAAGTCTTAGCCATGCCATTGTGCAAGAAATTACTCAAGTGAATGATCAATAGAAATTTGTTTCCAACACATAAGCTGATTGTTAAAACTGAATAAGCACTTAGAGAAAGCTAGGTATTGAATAAATATGAACAAGAATATTAAATTATCCCTGTTACACTGCAGGAAGATTTGACAATAAGGATTTACCTTCCCCAAATATTTGGAGAGCAGAAACTGATTAAAATGAAAATAAAGCACAAATATAAATAAACAGCAAAACAAGGAAGTATGCAACATATAATATTAGAGGTTTGGGGGCCATATTTGGAAATTTCCGTGAGTTTTATCAGCACTTCTATTGGCAATATTCAGAAAACAAAGACATAGACTTTTCAAATAATACACTATTCATGCTAGAAATAGCCCTTATTTTCTATTTTCATAAAGGAAGTCACCTATTTTAAAATATTTTCATTGCAGTACTTCAGTGGTCTGACTCCCAGAATACTTAGCTTTCTCACCACTCAGATCTCCCAGTTTGAGTTATTACAAATGATCACATTACACTTAGTAGTCCTGGGCACCAAAGTAATAAATTGGAATCATTCTGTGTTGATAACAAAACCATCTTAATTTTCTTTTTCTTACATTATATAAACTTTAAGCAAATATTTGTATTTTATATCTACAAACTTAAGTATTTGCATTGAGATCTCATTCTGCATTCACTTGATAACAGAGGGTATATGACTTTAGAATTATTGAAGACTAAAAAACAGTCTTGTTAATTAGCTTGAGCCCTCATGCCCACAAATTATTCTGGGTCTTAATGTAGGCAGACAGAATGTCTTTATAATTATAGCTCATTCTGTTGGTATCTTACTTACTAAGCTGCTGCTGTTCACTGATTTCAGACGTCTCCACATAAAGATATGGGTAAGTATGAGAAGAGCTGATCAAGTATTTGCTGCCTGGAAGATCAATTGATCCTATCTGCAATGCTGAGTAAGTTCATTACATTTCCCTCCTTCAACACTATGCCCAGCACCAAAAATTGGTTGGAGAAACCTACTAATGAGCACTCAAGTCCTTTTGAGTGATTGAAGACAAGATGTGACTAAAAGAATTTTAGTTGAGGTAACTTTCAAAAGAATATTGATGATCATGGAATGCTTGGGTGACTCTTTCCTTTACAACACAAAAAATCTTTTTTTCTCCATTCCTAATGCTAGTCAAAATGCAGACTCTTGAGTCAGTAAAATGATATATATACAAAGAACAGTTATTCTAATCAGCTAATTAGTACACTTGGGCAATTAATATTATATGTAATGGTGTAAATGTCCAAAATGTAATGCTTTTGCCATAGTTTAACAGGCTCTTAATGAAGACCAGATAAGCTAGAGATCTCAGACTGGAGCGTCAATTGAATTTAAATTAGGAAAGAGCAGATTTAGCCTCTTAATAGCTTTGGCCAGTTCATAGAAAATGTTGCTGAAGTCATCTTAAATTTATTACAATAAAATGGGACTGGGTGCATCAGCATGTTTGTCATCTCTGGAAGCCAAAATAGTGCACTATACCCCAACACGATAAAGTAAAGGAGCTGGAGAGTCATGGCATACTCACCGGAAGAACTAATTATTTTCCAAAATCTCTGCTCTTCATTTTAAGATGTTATTCCAAATTTAGGAGGCCAAGGTGGGTGGACCACCTGAGGTCAGGAGTTCAAGACCAGCCGGGCTAACATGGCAAAACTCCGTCTCTACTAAAAATACAAAAATTAGCCAAGGTCATCCCACTGCACTCCGGCCCGGGCGACAGAGCAAGACTCCATCACAAAAAAAAAAAAAAGAAAGAAAGAAAAAAGAAAAAAAATACGTTATTCCAAACTTGTGTTAAAACAGTTTAATGGATCTTATAATACTAACACTGAAGCAAAATAAGTTATTTACCTCTGCTTTGGGCTACTTCTCAATATGAAAATGTGGTTTTCTGTAGTTTAATTTTACCCTCAAGATCCTACCAAATTAAATAAAATAGTATCTATTTAATCCTTTGATCATTTCGCATGAATTAAATATAATATACACCTAATGTAAATTAATTCCTTATATGCATACAGGATGCTATCAGCTTGCCAAGCCTGGGTTATAATGTGCTAATAAACAATCTGAAAATCTCAGTGGCTCACAACAAAAGCTTTGTTTCATTGTACTTTTACTCTCTATCCCACATCCGTCCCACAAGCCTATTATGGTTCTGCTCAGCGTTATCTTAACAGCATTCAGACTGACAAAGTAACCTTTATCTACAATGCTGTTCACCTCCCAGTGAAGCACACTCTAGCTTAAAGTTGCCACTTGAAAGTGACAAACATCACTTTTGTTCACATTTTCTTGGCCACACAAAACAAGCCTTATTGCCAAATCTGACATCAATGGGATTAGAATATATAATCTTTCCACAGGCAGACACACAAGAAGGGGCACAGCAGGGAGGACAGAAAACACATTGTGTCATGTCATATCATAGTTCTACTCTCTTGTTCACGAATATTTAACATCTTCTGTCCATGTACAAAACACAATAATTCCCCTCCTATCTCCATAAGGAGGCAATTCAAAGATTCATCATCTGGTCAAAGCATGAGACTCAAACTCTTATGAGAGTTTCAACATTAGGTCTATGTGTGGCTTCCCTTGGTCCAAAGATCCAAAACAAAAAAGTCAAGTTATCAGCCCTTCCTTCCCCACTCCCCATCATAATAAGCACTCCTATTCAGAAACAAGAAGAATGAAAGATGCATCCAGCCATTGTTTCACAGCAATTCTAAAACCCCGCTCTCAAGCATTGTAAGTAGCCAACCTTGAAGGTAGGTATTATGAAGTGAATGTTTGTATCCCTCCAAAATTCATATCATGAAGTCCTGCCCCCGCCCAGTGTAGTTGTATTTTATTCCTATCAGATCAAGGCCCCACCATTATGGCCTCATTTAACCTTACCTCCTTCCTTAGAGATATCATCTTTAGTGTACTTGTAAGAAGAGACACAAGAGAACTTGCCTCTTACCACCCCACCGACCCCCACACCCTGCCACACATACACACACACACACACACACACACACACACATATCACATACATGCACCAAGGAAAGGCCAGGTGAATACACAGTGAGAAGGTGGCTGCCTACAAGCCAGGAAGAGAGCCCTCAGCAGAAAATCACCGTGCTAGCACCCTAATCTCAGACTTCCAGCTTCCAAAACTGTGAAAAATATATATTTCTGTTGTTTAAGCCATCTAGTCCATGGTATTTTGTTATGGTAGCCCTAGCAGACCAATCAGTAGGAAATGTTTCTTATTAGGCTCTGTTTCTACCTGGGGGAGAAGCTCTCTATTCCATTATTCTCAATAGCCATGAGTTCTGCCCTATGGGAGCTCTTTTTCCCTCATCCTCCTTTATCTCTAAGGAGGATATTAGATCATAAGACCTTCTTGGAACCTGAGCAAATTTGACATCCTGTTGTCTGCCCATAAAAGATGATAGGCCCAGTAGTCATATTAAGTTTTGAAAATTGAGTCTCTTTTACTTAGGATTAATTGGGTTTGGGGTCACACTAGCCTATAAAAACACAACATCAGCTGGGCACAGTGGCTCACGCCTGTAATCCCAGCACTTTGGGAGGCTGAGGTGGGTGGATCACGAAGTCAGGAGATCGAGACCATCCTGACTAAACAGTAAAACCCCCGTCTCTACTAAAAATACAAAAAATTAGCCTGGCGTGGTGGCACACACCTGTAGTCCCAGCTGAGGCTGAGGGAGGATGAGGCAGGAGAATCGCTTGAACCCGGGAGGCAGAGGTTACAGTGAACAGAGATCGTGCCACTGCACTCCAGCCTGTGCAACAGAGCAGGACTCCATCTCAAAATAATAATAATAAATAATAATAATAATAATGTCTTGACTATTTGATTCAAGTCACACTATGTGACAAAAGCCACAGCAGCAATTCCTTTTAGAACACACCTCCACACTAGATTTAGCATATCAGGCTTCTGTCAGAGAGTTATGATCTTTTCTCCCTGGGAAATTTTATCCAGCTGAAATAATTTAGTAGGTGTCATCTCAGTCAATTTGAAGATTTTTAACAATGGAATTTAGGGCCATACTCTTGCTTTTGTCTCATTTTGTCTGTTTTAATTAGCTCATGTGGCTTCAAGGCCTTTAAAGTTTTGTCTTTTAACAGTTGGCGCTTTTTAATACTGTATATGGGCTACTCTTGGCTATGTTTAGCAACTAATTACAAAAAAGAGATGAGCTCAGAAAAGAATTGCCTGGTTTGCAAGCAGAAATAAAAGAAAATAGAGTCAGGGAAAAGAAATCAAAAGTCTCTGCTTATAACAAAGCATAGCAATTCTGCTCATGTTTTATTTGCCAAAGCAAAGCACATGCCCAATCACACATCAGTGGAAAGAGGAAGTATAAATCCTGCCATAGGGAGGCACGGTGAAAATTTTGAACAATAATAGTTTCTCAGAAAGCTTCACAATACATAAAATTTGTATTGTGTGCATACATCATTCCTGCAAAGTAGGTAAGAAAAGTAGATATTATTATCAGCCTCATTCTCCAGAAAGTTCAGGAAAATTTACATCAAAGCCTAAGATCACAGAACTAATAAGATAAAAATGTTGACCCAGAACTCCAGATTTCTGATTTTTAGTGCAGCATTCTTTTTACTATACCAGCTAGTACTCATGAAATACACAGGTTATACAACATTGATACATGAGAAAAAATGCCCAAGGAGGCAGGGAAGATTAGGTGAGGACAATGTTTGGGTACAGAAGAGCTCTGGGTTCCAGGCCCAGCTCCTTCCCTACTAGATGTACACTCTTCAGAAAGTCACTTAAACTCACAGGGATTCCATTTTACCATCTGTAAAGCAGAAATTGTTTTTATTTTGAAGTGTTTAATGTCAACTCTCAGATATTGGTTTAATACATATACTTGACACAGCATTAAAAATCAGACTGGGAATGTGGAAAAGAAGAATGTAAGGCAAAATGAAAATACAAAATAGGAGGAATTTTTTTTCCTGAACTTTTTGTTCCCCAGTGATGTCCATGTTTCTCCCTTTAGAGGGTGATCTCTTTTTGAAGTTGGACACATAAACTATGTACTTGGATTACTTAGACAATTAGTATGAAGCATCAAGAACAGCCACATAAAATTCTTGACATTTTACATAAGCAGCAAAAACAGGATTTAGGTAATAACAAGGATTAGAAAATGGATGCATATTTTCTTTCTTGTCAAATACAGATTTATTATATTATAAATACATTGTTTTATATGTGGGACGGGAATGATATTATCCTCATTTTCCAGATTAAATAACCCTTGTTCTAAGAAGAAAATTACTTAATGTTATGATCTTAAATTTACAAACCACTGTGTGATTAAAAACTCAAAAATTCACATTCTAGATAATCATATTCTCATGGTCTTAGGTATAACTGATATGAAAAAATTTATTCACAGTTCCATTTCTCATCAATTCCTTTCATGCACATATATAATATCAGTCTCACGTAAAGCCAGAGAAAGTGCCATTTTTACTACCCCAATACATGTTATTATAACATTGAAATGATATGACACAAGGCTTTAAATCTTAAACACATTCTTTTTACTATATTCATAAGATTCAATGTGATTTCTTAAATATAACATGCAGAAAAAGTCTTCTGTTAAACTGTGAAATCCATGCTTGAGCACACAGAGAAATAATGTGTCTGGTAGAAGTTTTAACAACTATCAATGTCTAATGGCTATTGAGTTTGACCATTTATGCTCTGATCCAGCTGAAATTCACACAATCAGAAATCATATAATCATATATGCTGCTGTACAAAGGAAATTGTTCACGGGGGAAAAAATCCTAAGTCACAGGCAAATATTAAATAGAATTTATTTTCAAAGCTGCAAAAATCACCACCATTAAGTTAGAAAGAAATAGGTTCCACTCAGTGAGTCATGTCAGGATTAGCATCAATCTCATCAGATGACAGAGAACCTCTCCTTCTCGGTTAATCCCACAAAGGGATGTGCATTCTTTCCGAAAGGGAAGAGTCCACACGGATTATAATAAGGATCAGTAACTCTGGTCACAACATTAAAGGAAGAACACTGGCAAACACGAGGGTTCATAAAGTGGCACGAGAGAGAGAAAAATGATACCATTTAACATCTGCCCCAAATAATGAGGAAAATGAGTGTACTCTAGGAAAACAGAAAAAAGAAAATCCACCCCCCCTTTTTCTTTTTTTGTTAACTGCTTGGATTTTAACTTTTAAAAAGTAAAATTTTTTTTTTGAGATGGAGTCTCACTCTGTTGCCCAGGCTAGAGTACAGTGGTACAATCTCGGCTCACTGCACCCTCCGCCTCTTGGGTTCAAGCAATTCTCCTGCCTCAGCCTCCCGAGTAGCTGGGATTACAGACGCTGGCCACCACACCCAGCTAATTTTTTTGTATTTTTAGTAGAGACCGAGTTTCACCATGTTGGCCAGGCTGCTCTCGAACTCCTGACCTCAGGTGATCTTTCTGCCTTGGCTTCCCAAAGTGCTGGGATTACAGGCATGAGCCACCGCGCCTGGCCTAAAAAGTAAAATTTTAATCAACCTTTCTAATGGCAATGTTGCAAAGCACACCAACAATCTAAATGTATGTAGTCTCAGTAATTCCACATTTTGGATTTATCCTATGGAATAAATAAAAATGCAAATGTATGTGTCATTGTGAGGTTCATAAAGTCGTTATTTCATTACTAATATCTGAAACAACCTAGAATTCACCAATCATTTTAAAAATAAATTGGAGTGGGTCCATACAACAGAATACCATGCAGCCACTTGAAAGGATCAGATAATTTTTAGGTACTGACTTACCACATATTACATGAGTAAAAGCAGATTACAGTTCGGTATGCATAATATAGAACATATACACATTTAAATGTGCATCTAGTAAGACTGGAAAGATAAATACTAATCACAGAGTTTGCCTCTGGAGAGTGGGATTATTGGGCCCCTGAGAACCTCCAATACTTATGCAGATCTGAAGACTGAACCAAAAACATCCAAAAGGATACACTGGGCAAGGCAAAATGTACACACATATGCTGTTGGTCTTTTGATTGGTGTATTTTGTATGAGATATCTGTAGATGTTGTAGGGTACTTTCAAGATAAAATGACCGAGACAGGGAAGTAGCATATAAATTCAAGACTGCCTCATGGCTGGTCTCATACTAACATTAGTGGGTTAGCATTTAGGGTAAGTGAGTGGGAAATTATAGTATAATGCAAGTTTGTGTTATACTATATATTAACAAATATATCACACATGTATCTGACAGGACTATCTCCCGTAAGTATTACTTTCCTGAATGTGTAGAGGACACTCAGCTAAATTTGAAAGTACTCTTCAATACACAAGCAAGTAAAAAGATTAAACAGGCAAACATACTCCATGTCTGACCAATTAAAAATGCTTTTTAAGTTTTAGGTCACAACTTATATTAGCAAATCTCTCCTCTCTTCTCCTCCCCTTCTTTGCCCTCCCCTCCTTTGCCCTCCCCTCCTCTCCTCTCCTCTTTCTCTCTCTGATACAAGCAATAGTTTTGCTGTGAAATTAATATTTTAGCTAAGCCATAGGTTATCTTTATTCTTAAGAGTTAAAAATGTCATATTATACCTTTCAACTTCCCTTTATCAAGCTCTAAATAGAAGGGAAGTACAGTGAACACATTTCAAACACACAGAGATAAAATTAGGCAAAAGAAGAGCAACAGATATATGCAGAGTCGCAACAGATCCCTTCATTTTTGCCAAAGATGTTTCTGCAGGGTACCTCTATTCTCTACTTCTGTTAACTTAATAAATGTCTTAACTATGTCATTCACATAATGATATTGGGAGAAAGATTCTGGCAGACCCACTCGAAGATGTTAATAGAGTGCCTCAGAAAATAAATATTATTTTCATTTATCTCATTAATCCTGGCTATTCCTTCCTTCCCTTCAGCCAGGCTGCGTCAGAAAGGCATGTACTTTATCCATATGACAGAGTTATAGGAAAATTGCCACTCACACTTATAAAATGAGCCATTTTCATTTTCTGACAACCATTTATCTCTCTGCCATCAGGCAATATCTAAACTTTTTATGTGGGCCTTATCTTAAAGATGAGTTCCTGTTGAATCTCAGAGGTTGTCAATATATTTTTAACCTTTGAAGGAAATGCTGTCTTTCCAAAACAGCCACATTTTATTTGCCAAGAGTGATACTGTACTATGACCACTAAAACAATTATCCAAAAACTTTGGCAAGCTACTGTATTCTGCTTTTTGTAACATGACCACATTACTAAGTAATTCACGAAAAATGTGTTTCAAATGAATGCAGTATCATTGAACATTAACACTCGATAAAGCAGACAGGGAGATTGCAAAACTTGTTATTAAATTTAGATTTAAATAATCACAAATAACAAAACCATAATAGATTTTTAACTTCAAACTTCACCTCCCAAACTTCCACTTTTGTTCTTTTTTACATAAAGATACCAAAATGTATGCAATTTACATACACTTCTGCTACATTCCAGTTTTTCAAATTACCATCATTTTCACCTCACCAGTTTCTGTATCCTCTTTACTACAATTTGTCCTAACCTTCTTAGTTCTTTCCCTGATTCAAACACATATTTATCTGTAAGCTACAGCATTTTTGCTATTCCAGGAAATTTTTACCCCTAAATTGGTGAGTCTTTGCCATTCTGCTTTCATTTTAATGAGAGTTTATAAATTGTTTGTTACTATAGCCTGTTTTATTTCCCCCACAATATTAGCTGTATCCAAAAATCTTTTGCTATGTGTAGCATATGCAACAAACCTTATTGATCAGGCTTCTTCTTCCATTGGAAGATCTTCAATTAATCAATTCCCCAACTCATATTGACTTTAACCAACAATTTGTTTGTAAAGAATGCATTATGAGATCCTTCATGACAAGCTTTTCTTTTTTTCCCACAGCATCTGTGCCGTATTTTCATTTATCATTCTGATCTCCTCTCTTCCCTCCACTCTGCTACGTGCCTTGGGAAGCTGATCTGCACCAACAGGCCCCCTTGGTCCCTAACTTCCAGTTGGGGTCACCCAATGGAGAGCATCTGCAGGAGCTTGGCAAGTAGGAGGCAAGTGAAATTGAGGTCATTATGCCCCTTGCTCCCCCTTCTGATCTCTGCATACTGGTTGACCCTGCTAGGCAAACTTCTCCATACAGCTACCCTCTTCTGATTCTTGTCACCACTCTATCTCATTGCCACCTCAGCTCTAGGGGTGGAAACAGCTTCTCATTTTGGTAGCCCTTGGATTATGAACTATCTCTTCTACTTTCATAAGTGATCCCTCTATTAAAATTACTTCAATCTATGCAAACTGAATGTTCTTCTAAATGCCATACCTTCTTAAAGGCCTTTGAAAATACTCTGAAATTCAAATTCTATTTTGTACATGTAGGTCCTTTATCATCTTACTTTCCCAGTTTTGTATTGAAGTCATTAGTCTTAAAAATTTGTATATTTTGCTTACAGTTTTCTGTCTAAAAATCTTTGCATGATTATTGAGAAAATCTGAAAATTATGAAAGAGAAAAATACATGTATTATGCCAACACCAGCACAAATGTTTTGAAAAACTTTTCTTTGTATGAAATTTTACACAGGTATACTATATCTTATGTTCTTGTTCAATATCATATCATAAGAAATTATTCACATCGTTCAAAACTCTTTATAAAAATTATTTTCAGAGACTACATACAATTTTCTCTCTAAATATGTTATAATTTACTAATTTTCCTCATGCTGAATATATACTGTAGATTGTTGCTCATATTCACCATTCTTAATAACACTTTTATAAACATCATTATGTGCAAAATTTCTTTAGGTATTGATTCTTAAAAGTGGAATTAATCAGTAAGTAGTTATGAATATTTTAGTCTATTGATACATATTATTAAATTGCTTTCTAGAACATTCTCACTTCCATTAGTATTATATAAATGAATGACTCACTGACCCACATTAAAATTCAGTACATTAAATCTTTAATATTTTCTATAGGTCAAAAATTGGTGCTCATTGTTCTTTTAATTTGCATTTCTTTAATGGGTTGAACATTTTATTTTCTCTTTATCAATTATCAGTTTAAGTACTGTTGTAGTCCTATTGTTCATCTAATTTATGTAAGCTCTTTATACTTTAGGGTTATAAATTCTGTTTTTAATGATATTCCTTGCAAATATTTTCCCCCACCCCCGAGTTGAAGCTTGTCTTTAAATTATGGTTTGTATTGTTTGTTTTTAAGTACCAAAGTTGTTTGAACTTGTTTTTAAAGTCTGTTATAATTTTTTTCTTTATGATTTCTTCCAGTGCTTTTAAGGCTATAAGTCCTTCCAAATCTAGACACAGAATAGATGTTAATCTTTTCTATATTTTCTGGCTTGATTATTTTATTGTTATTTCTGTATTTCTCTCTGGAATTTGTTTTGGTAGAGTATAAGATAAGATCTAAACCAATTTTGTTTCTTTTTCCTATTTTTTAAACAAATATCAAAGTAACTATCCCACCATCATTAATTTATAATATTTCATTATTTGTGTCACCTTATATTTACTAAGAACTGTTTGGCTACCAATTTTTCCCTTCATCTCACTTCATTTTTTATAACACTATTCTGCTAATTTATCATATTTAATATGTCTTCATGCCTAGTAATGCCAAAAGAAATTAGTCTTTTTATTCTTCAATTATCTTCAATTGAATTAAACATTTATGTATCACACACTAAGACCAGAAATTCTGATTTGTACTACGTGGCATACAAAAAAATAAATTCAACATGATCTCAAGAAGTTTACAAAATAGTTGGAGAGAAAAGACATAAATACAAATAACTACAGTACAAGTAGAAGGAAAGTGGTATCAGAAAGTTATGTGGTTCTATGAGAGAATTGAGGAAGAAAATGATAGACTAGAATCAACAGGAAATCCTTTGTGTAGAAGATGGCATTTGATCTAGGCCTTGAAAAAGAGCTGGGATTTCATCAGGAAAAAGTGAGAAAGAAGAGCATGTCCATCAGGGAAACCAAGATAAGTGAAGCCATTAAACTAGGAGAATGGAAGATTCATTTGGGCAACAGGAAACAATCCAGTATGGTAAACATGTATGGGGCTTTAGGGAGAAGACAGAGGACCCATTACAATTTTTAGCAGGGGCCAGGAAAGATCAGAGCAGGTAACTGACTGTATCAGGCCTCCAATGCACAGCTATCTACCTTTTCTGTATTACCCACTCTCTATTTTCTACAATAATTTCTCTTCAGGAAAACCTTCCCTATTCACTAATTTTTAAACAATAGGAAACAGAATCTCAACCAGAACCCAACAGCACCAGCAATTGGTCTCAGATGCTGCCTCAGTGTTGCTATCGATGGTATATCGGGTCTGATTTTCTTTCTTTTCCGATAGCCTTGAAAGGCTTGCTTGAATTCATCTGGGCAGTTATCATTCTTTGGGCTCTGCTTTAAACAAATTTTGAAACCTTGAAATGACTCCAGCAACATCTGCTTCCCTCTTAATCTGCTTTTCAACAGAAGGCATTCTTGCGGCCCTGTATGTGCCCCTTTAACCACGCTGGCTTACCAAATGTAACATTCAAATATTTTCCTGAGCTCCGCGTGTAGCAAGTCATTGACCATGGCTTCATGCCTGCAGAATCTCTGCTGGTCACTATAGGCTAGCCTCTGTTAAAGTAGCAAATAAACCACAAAATATTATTGGTTTAGTCTAATTTCAATTTATTTCTCATTTGGACATAGCATGGCATTGATAGGGCTGCCCTCCTTCAACTTGTAGCTATTCCAACTGCAATGCTTGACCTTCAAGATCACTGCAGAAGTAGAGAGTAGTGGAGAGAGAGGTCAAGAGGAATGTTTTAAGGGACATTTCTGCCTTCATCTCACTAGCTAAAACTCAGAGGTATTGCCCCAACTTAAGTGCCCAGAAAAAGGAAATGGTGTAATTAAGCACAACAGGCATCTGCTTCAGAGTTAATACCATTTAGACCCTCGCTTTGGTTTGGTTTCATACTTATATCCTCTAGTCTAAAACCACACCCTATGTTCCTTCCCCTATGACATTTAATAGAGAACAAAGATTCCTACATCCTGATACATTTTCCTGGAGGGAATGAACAGAACTGTTCTGTACAGTGTTCTATTAAGTGCTCTAAATCCCTTTTTCTTCTAATGGCTGTCATTAAAATAGCATCAATTTTCTGAAAGCTAACATTGACATCAAATCTGAATTATTAAGAATATGTTCCTTGAGTTTATTATAATTGACTTTAATCAGGGTTCCATTACATACTGCTCTCTTCCCAGAGAGCTACTTTTATGCAGTGAAAAATATGACTTCTGGACAATTACTCCTTTCAATCAAATTTTAGGTTGTCTACTCCACTCCCAGAGGTTGGATATTTTTATTTCTATATTTTCTCAACCATTTTGTTATGTAAAAATAAAATAAAATAACATAACAGCCTCTACTTCTCTCCCTTTTCTTGCCCTTCTCATTGTCTCCTTGCCTTTCTTTCTCCATCCATTCTTATTCTCTACTTCCGCCCTGCCTTTCCTCTTATTCAAAGTTCTCATGCATGGCTGGCTTATGGAAGTTTTGGAAGGAAGGGCTTCTGATAATTTCACTTTTTCTGTTTCTATGATTTTTCTCTCTTCATCAGAGATTACCTGCCTTAGATCCACATATTTTCATTGGCACCCCCTCCACTTCCTGAATTTCTACCACATCTCAGTCTCCTTCTTCAGACTCCAAGGCCAGATTGAAATTATTCACTGCCACTGATAAAGCTAAAAGAAAGTCCCTGCGAGCTTAGTGGGCAGATCTAGCTTTATTTTATAGTTAGTAAAATTGAAACATGGAGAAAATAAGCAAATACTTTTAAAATTAAATGCCTTATACCCTATATCAGGAGTAGGCAAACTATTGCCAGTTTTTTACAGCCCACAAGTTAAAAATGGCTTTTACAGTTTTAGAGGTTGTAAGAAAAAATAAAGAATAACATATGACTGAGACCATGTGTGGCCCACCAGGCCTAAAATATTTACTAGCTACCCCTTTATGAAAAAGTTTGCTGACCTCTATTCTCAACTATAGCTCTATTTATTTGATTTATATAATCACAAAGATGCTGGGTAAGTTTGGGTCCTCTAGCAAACAGATATCAAGAAAGAATTCAAGGGCAAGAGATTGATTGGGGGGATAGGAAGTAGAAGTAATCAGGGAAAGCCTTCAGGCCAAGATGCAAAGCTGATACCTGCAAAAGGAGAGAGGGGAGGAAGGGGGACTCATTAGGAAGCATCTCAGATACAGTAGGGCTTTGAGAAAGTTTGAGCCAACCCAATGGGAAACACCAGTGCAAAGATCACACATATAGAAGCCCCATATTGGGCAGAAATTTCCAGGCCCTATGCTCAAGCATCAGCTGGGAGCAGCTCATGGGAGTATGGTCTCAAAGTGAAAGCTGAAGCAGATCCCAACAGTGTGGCAGATGGAGGTTGTCAGCTCCTAACACTCCTCATAACAGATTCTTAACCTAAGTCAGTTTTGTCTCTCTGCTGTCTCTCCTACTCCACTACTTTTGTATGCCAGAATTCAAATATCATTATCACTAGTGATCTAATTTAAATTTTCATTCAAGTGTATTAGAGACCGTGTGAATGAATAATGATGAAAAAGTAATGTAAGCTGATACCGACTTCTCCAGTATGTTTAGATTTTGCACATAACAATATTATTTTTTCTCTATTAAAAAAATGAAGATAGCCTTTAAAAATAAACAACTTGTATTGCCATGGACTATTTTTCCTAATCTTATTTAAAGATGAAGATGTTAACAAGATTACACTCAGCCAGCAGCACTCACATGATGGATGCATAAGCTGCGATCACTCAGGGCTATATAACCTTCTCCAGGACCTGTCATTACTTTGTAGTCTACAGAACACTGCACTAGGTCACCCATCTCTACTTGTTAACATGTTGTCATACTGCCTGCTGGCATCACTTACCCAGCTTCTGGTCTGTCACAGTTATTCTTTAGCCATCACCTGTGTGTACCCACCTAAACATACACACACAAACACACACTACTGTGTGTCTGCTCACTATGCCATCAACACCCTCATGCACTCTTACCTGACTGTACCTGGGACCCTCCCCTTGCCTGCACTGCCCCTCTTCTCATGTAAAACTACTGCCTATCTTTCAAGGTTTCAAAGTTCAACTCAGGCTCTGCTCCCTGTGTAGACCTTCCCTGGCTACTCTGGCTCTCAAATATTTATCTGTCTCTGACCTTCTACAGCTCTTTAACACTATGCTGGGCACTTTCATGCCACATATGTAAGTCTTGCCTCATCAGGTAGCATTTATGTCCTCATGATGACAGATTATTTCTTGGACTGCCTCTGTGCCTCTCACAGCACCTAGCTGGCTCTCATCCATAACTATCTGGATGGAATACCCTACCTTCAAACTCCCTACCCTTCCTTCAAGGCTCATTTCAAATTCCACATCATCCGAATACTTTTTCCAAGTCCAACTTAAGACTGCTTGGATTTTTAATATACTGTATAATTCTTTCTGCTTTGAAGCATAATTAGCTGCTTATATAGTTTTTTTCTCTATCATAATTAGTTTATAATATCTTAGAGGACATATTCATCTATGTATTCTCTATTATACTTTATTCTCTGCATAAACCTAACCTTCAGTTTTGGATTAGTTGAAAGAATGATTGAAGAAGATGGTAATAGTTGAAGCTTTGTTGAAAAAGCAAAGTGGCGTGAAAGAAAATGTGACCAGTAATGGGAAAAATCTTCAACTAAAAGCCAGTGGTAGACACTGATATGGTTTGGCTACATGTCCTCACCCAAATCTCATGTTGAATTATAATTCCCAATGTTGGGGAAGGGACCTGGTGGGAGGTGATTGGATCATGGGGGACTGATTTCCCCCATGCTGTTCTCATGATAGTGAGTTCTCACAAGATCTGATGGTTTAAAAGTGTATGGCACTTTCCCCCTTGCTCTCTCTCTCCCTCCCACCACCGTGTGAAGAAGGTGCTTGCTTCCCCATCACCTTTTGCCATGATTGTAAGTTTCCTGAGTCCTCCCAGTCATGCTCCCTGTTAAGCCTGAAGAACTGTGCATTGATTAAACCTCTTTTCTTTCTAAATTATCCAGTCTCAGGCAGTTCTTTATCGCAGTGTGAAAACAGACTGATGCAGATGCTGACTAGCTTTAGGGTCTGCAAAAGCCAAGTAACTTCTCTAAACATCAACTTTAGCATTTGTGAAAATTTGTGGGTATAATAAACTGTAACAAATAACAATGTTTAAGAGCACAAGCTCTGCAGTATTTGAATCTCAGCTTGGCCAATTATCACTTAGGAAGTTATCTAACTATAACAAGTCTATTTTCTCACTGGTAAAATCATCATAGTGCAAAATGATAGCCTACTTCATAGTGTCATTCTAAGAATTTAATGAAACAATGTATATAATGATCATCACAAAAGACCCAGAATATAGAAAACTTGGTATGCCTGGCAGGTATTATTATCATTACTATTACTATTACTATTATTATTATTATTATCATCATCATTATCTAATATTCTTTTCAGGTGTAAAAGTCAATGATTTTATGACAGCACATTCAATAGCATCATCAATCTCTGAATACATTCTTACTTGAAGACTCAAGTAAACACTGAACTGATAATTTGTTTGCCTATTAACATAAGTAGGTTTCCTAATAGCGATCTCTAATTTTTAGACTATTGGTATACTACAATGAGAAATCCACAGGGAAATTAAAATATACTTGATTACCAGAACTCACTGTTGACTATTTTAGCAAAGCCTTATAAAAGAGAACAATCAAGATGGCCACCATCATAATACACTTAGAACTAGTGTTGATGGTGGCAGACCCAAAATATATTTAATCAAACTGACTTATGTTCAAATCCCAGCTCTACAATTACTGCTGTGAGAACTCTGACCCTTTATAAATTGCTAAATTCCTTGTGTTTGTTTCCTTGTCTGCAATCTATGATAATAATTACTGTAAATTCAAAAAGTTATAAACATTAAATAAATACACGTAATGAGTGTCTGGCATACAATAAATGCCCAATATGTGTTGGCTATTATCATTATCCATTTGTTAAACATCATTATCCATTTATTTGTTAAATATTGTATACACAAGTACTGTACTCTGTGCCTGCAAAGTTCACAAATAGAAAGTATTATTGTTATTATTATTATTATAGCTGCTGCTGTAACACATGTAAGACTGTTGTGTGGAAATATTGATCAGAGAAGAAAAATATATATTAGAGCAAGAAAGACAAAGCATCAAGGTTCAAGTATAGAAGTTAACTTAGTAAATTCAGGGGAAAAAATTCAAATTATGCTGACCTTGAGGTAGCATAGAGAGAGAAACAGAGAAAGAAGATCTGTAAGCAGGCCGTAACAAGGGAATAAGACCAAACAAAGAGAGGACAAGGAGAGAATAGTGAAATTACTTTCATTTTTTAAATCACAGAGTAAGAGAAGCAAAATCATCATGGAAAATGATCACATAGACATAAAGGCTCAGGCAAAGCTGCTCTGTGTGTGTGCTGTTGCTGCTTTCCCTGCCTATAGCATCCACACCTATGCTACCCACATTAGAATTATAAATATAGATGCAAATGAAATGTAGTTATGGATGATGTCTTCAAGAGCCATCTGGGAAGAATTTGTGTCTAGACAAAGAATGATGCCATAAAAAAAAGGAATATGACATACTATAAAAGGCTAACTTGAGCCTGTTGCTCGAGAAAGCATCCTGAGACTGGTGATCTATAGCTCCTTCTGATAATTTTGGATGACATCAGTATTAAGCAATAAATTTTAAAGTTATATTTCCAAGCTGTCTCAACCAGCTCACTTGCCAGCACTGATGAGTGGAAGGAAAACATGGATGTCAGGGACACACAACTGGAAGAAGTTGGGTCTCACTCTCTATTGCTTGCCTGCCCTCCAACCTTTACCACTACCACACCCACCTCCCAACCATCACCCCCACCTGTCCAAGGTTGGGCACATTAGGGAAATAGTAGAAAAAGAAACAACATGGACTTCTTATGGTCCTCTTAAAGCATGGGAAAGCTTAGCAGGAAAATGAAGACCATTGATAATACATTCATCCAGTTTTCTAATCTAAGATACCAAAAAATAATCCACATGACAAATGTAACAAGTTAACTTTGAGAATAATTTAAAGCATTATCTAATAATAATCGGATTATATTAAATGTGTTGCTATTTATGTAACTTTTTAAAGATAAACAGGATTTCAAGAAACTTTCCCACTGGCATAGGATCATTGTAGACTCTATCCTTTCCCTCCACCACTTCTTATGCTCTCCTCTGTCCCTCTGTTACCCTCACCTTAGATTCCTGAATAAATGTGTGATTTCACGTACTGTTGAGGCCTTTGGTAGAAAATTTTAAGAATCACAGGATTTTGCTTCCTTTGCATCACAAAGACAAATACCCTTAGATGAATGTGTTGGTGCAGAATGAAAAGTTTCTCACTTCCCACACAGTATTTTAATAAGCAACGGTTAAAAACCTCCCTCTACCCTGCGGTTCTTTGATTCTGCATCTGTCACTACCTTTGTGTTACTACATTTGTAAATTTCCCTCTTTTGAAAGTCATAATCTGTCCCTCATCAACCACACCACCCAACAGCTTTCCTGATGAGAATACATAACTTTTCCTGTTTTGGTCTCCTGATTAGGCACAGGAGAATGTAATACCACTTGCCTGTTTCCCCCCTCAGTGAGATGGGAAATTGCTATTTTCCTCTATGTATCCAGAAGCCATTCGTGTGGAGCTGGCTGCGAGGCTTCTATCTTGCTGCTCAGCTATAATCTCTTTCTTTTATTTAGTGATTTCCTAAAACTTGGCTTCTAGAGAAATCACCCCAACAAGCTGTAGTCCATTTCGAAAGCATGCAGTCATTTTGGAATTTTCTACAAATATAGCAGTAAAGGCAGTCTTTTCTTTTTACTAGATATTTAGGTTGTACAAATTTGGTGCTATTTGGTGTTAAAGAGCATGAACTAAGTCATTATTATTAATAAACAATAAAAGTTTATATTCGAAATGTCTATAGATAGTCACATAATTTTTTTCTTTTCTTTTTTTTTTTTGAGACAGAGTCTCACTCTGTCGCCCAGGCTGGAGTACAGCGGCGCGATCTTGGCTCACTGCAAGCTCCGCCTCCCGGGTTTACACCATTCTCCTGACTCAGCCTTCCGAGGAGCTGGGACTACGAGCGCCCACCACCACGCCCGGCTAATTTTTTTGTATTTTTCGTAGAAACGGGGTTTCACTGTGTTAGCCAGGATGATCTTGATCTCCTGACCTCGTGATCCGCCCACCTCGGCCTCCCAAAGTGCTGGGATTACAGGCGTGAGCCACCGCACCCGGCATCATGTAATTTTTCATCCCACCATTGAAAGCCATTGTTTCCGTATTCCTCAACACACACATTCAGTAAGGATGCATTTCTGCCTCATTAAAAACAGAAAAGGTGAGGCAGAGCAAGATGAAGTGATTTGGACAGTAGAAAGTCAGCATTCAATTGAGAAAGCCCCTTAAATAAGGAGTTTGACATTCCTTGTTATTGAACTGATAAGGAAAACAAATTTTGTCTGATTGGCCCTCAGCGGACTTTAGAATTAGAGTGAACCAAGTAAAACCAGTGCAAGAAATAGGATCAGGTGATAGAGGCCAAGTCAGGCAACAGGTGTGGACAGTCAGATGGAAAAAGCTCCTACAACACCTACTTCATGAGGCCATGATGATTAAACCACACAGTGCATATAAAAGCCCTCAGCAAAGTGCTAAGTGTGATCTATAAACATCAGACAGGACACAGACAAATAAGGATTGGATAGCTAGTTAATCAAATGCAGGTCTAGAGCTGGTTCTAGCATACAGGAAACTAAGAGTTTCTTTTTAAAATTTATATATCGTAAAATTCATGAATCTTCAGTGTACAAAAAATTAGTTTTGATAAATGCACACAGCTGTGTAACTAACACCTGCATCAAGACTATAAAGCATTTTCATCACTCCAAAAAATTCTCATGCACTCCCTACCAGTTAATCCCCACAACCAACCATTTGTTCTAATTTGTATTATATCTCAGTTTTGCTACTTCTTGAACTTCATTTGAGTGGAATTATATCATATGTACCCTTTCATATAATACTGACGTTTTCACTTAACATAAAGTTTTTTGTGATGTCATTGCATATATAGCAGTTAGCGTTTTTTATTGCTGAGTAGTACTCTATTTTATTACTGTGACATTTGTTTATGCATACTCAAAGGGACACTGGGTTGTTTCTATTTTGAGACTATTATGAATAAAGCCACTAAATATTTTTGTACAATTCTTTTTTTGGACATAGGCTTTTATTTATCTTAGGTAAATACCTAGCATTGGAATTGCTGGGTCATATATTTATTTCAGAGACTGGCACAGAAGTTGTACAGAGTGGTCGTACTATTTTACACTCCCTCCCACATTGAATGACTATTCAAGTTAATTTATATACTTGCCGACATTTTCAATTATTAGTCTTCTTTATTTTAGCCATCCTGGTGGGCATGAAATTATTTAATTTGCATCTCTCTGTCACCTGATGATGTTGGGTATCTATGCATGCCCTCATTGACCATTGGTATATCTTCTTTTGTAAATTATCCCAGTCTCTTACCCATTTTTAATTTTTTTTATATATTATGGAGTTTTAGGAGTTCTTTATATATTCTGGATACAAGTCCAGATGGTAGATATATGTGTTAAGACTATTTCTCCCAATTGTACTAGCTTGTCATTACTTTCTTAGCATGTATTTTGACAAGCAAACATTTTTAAAATTTGGTAAAATTTATTAGTTTTTAATTTCATCTTCAGTACCTTCTATTTTGTCTATGAAACTTTGTCTGGCACAAGATGTTGAAGATATTTGTCTATGTATTCTTCTACAACCGTCATAGTTTTAGTTTTACCTTTAAGCCTTGATCCAATTTAAATCAATTATTGTGTGGGTTATGAAGCAGTAATCAAGGATTATTTGTTTTGATACATGTATCCAGTTGCTCCAGCCCCACAGCTATAAAAGCATGGCCCATCCCCATTAAACTACATTGGTACTTTTGTTGAAAATCACTTGAATGTATAATTATGGACCTATTTCTGGACTCCCTGTTCTGTTACATTGATCATTTATCTATCTTTATTCCAGTACTATATTGTCTTAATTACAATAGCTTATATTAAGAGTTAATATCCGGTATTTTGAGTCCTCCAACTTTGTTATTTTTCATAATTGTTTTGGCTATTCTTAGTTCTTGTCATTTCCATATAAATTGTGGAATCAACTTGTCCATTTCTATTTAAAAAGTTGGCTGAGATTTTCAGAGAGATAATATTAAATCTATTAGTCTTCCAATCCATGAATATGGTAAGGCTCCTTTATTTATTTGAAGTGTCTTAAGTTTCACTCAGCAAAGTTTTATAAATTTCAGTGTAAAGAGGCCTTAGATATCCCGTTGTTACATTCATTCCTAACATGTTTATTTTTATTGATTCTTTAGAAAATAAAATTTTTTAAATTGAATTTTTAAATTGTTTGCAGTTAATATATAGAAATACAATTTATTATTTATATTGACCATGTATCCTGAGAATTTGCTAAACATATTTGTAAGTTGTAATCATATTTTGTTTTTGCTGATATTTTGTTTGCTTGTATGTTTGGGGCTTGGCTTTTTTTTTTTCTGGTAGATTTCGTGGTAAGGTGTTCTATGTGGACAATTGGTGAATAGATTCATTTTTACATCTTCCTTTAAAATCTGTATACTGTTAATTTTTTTCTTTACTTATTGCACTGGCTACACCTTCCAGTACAATGTTAAGCAAAAAAGGTGAGAGCAGAAAAACTACACTTGTTCCCAATTTTTAAAATCAAATGTTTCACGTTTTTCCATTAAGTATGGAGTTAGCTGTAGTTGTAGTTTTGTGTAGATGTCTTTTATTTGATTAAGGGAATTCCCTTCTATTCCTAACTCCTGAATTGATGTTTAATTTGATCAAATACTTTGTTCTGTGTATTTTGAGATACTCAATTTTATTTTTTTATGTGGTCAAGATGTAAATTACGTTAATTGATTTTTAAATGTTAAACTAATCTTATATTCCTGGGATAAATCTCATTGATCATCATGTATGATCTTCTTTATACATCATTTGAGTCAAGTTGCTATATTTCGTCAAGGGCTTTTGTGGAATTTCCATACACAATATTAGTTCCATAATTTTTTGGTAATATCTTTATCATGTTTTAGTCTCAAGGTTGTGGTATCCTCATAAAATGAGTTGTGAAGTGTCCTCATCTCAGTTTTCCAAAAGAGTTTGGTAAGTTTGATATTACTTTTTTCTTAAATGTTTTATAAAACTCAGCAGTGAAAATATCTGGGCCTGTACAGTTGACTCTTAAACAATTTGGGGGTTAGGAGTGCCACCTGCCTCATGCAGTAGAAAATCCACATATAACTTTTGACTCCCCAAAACTTAACTACTAATAGCCTACCATTGACTGGAAGGCTTACCAACAACATGAACAGCTAATTAACATTTTTTATATGGTATATGTATTACCTACTGTATTCTTACAATAAAATAATATAAAGAAAAGAAAGTGTTGTTAAGAAAATCATAAGGAATAAAAATATATATACTATTCATTAAGCGGAAGTGGATCATCATCAAAGTCTTTGTTGTCTTCATGTTGAGTAGCCTGAGGAAGAGGGGGAAGAGGAACGGTTGTTATTGCTATCTCATTGGTAACAGAAGCAAAAGAAAATATTTGTACAAGTGGACTGACACAATTCAAACCTGTATTGTTCAAGAGTCAACCGCATTTTTCTTTGTGGGAATTTTATTATCCATTGTTTTTCTTTAACATTAAAGGGCTATCAGATTTTTTTTTCTTGTGTTGGTTTTGGCATGTTGTGCTTTTAAAGAATTTGTCTACTTCACTTAAGTTGTTAAATTTATTGGCATAACTTTATAATATTCCCTTATTATATTTTAATATCTATGCTATCTGTAGTGACATCCTGTTTTTTATTACTTCCGTTGGTAATATGTGTTTCTTTCCTTAATACATTGATTTAGAGGTTTACAGGTTGAGAATTCCTAATTTGAAAATCTGAACTCTGAAATGCTCCAAAATCCAAACCTTTTTGAGTGCATGATGCCACAAGTGGAAATTCCACACCTGACCTAAGGTGATGAATCTCAGTCAAAATGCAGGTACAAAACACACAGTTTATTCAACATCCCCAGGGGAAAAAGACTTTCCCAGCCCCTTCAGCTGCAATAAATTTGGGTCTCATCCCCAATACATCTCATTATGTATATGCAAATATTTAAAAATCCAAAATAGTTCTGGTCCCAAGCATTTCAGATAAGGGATATTTAACCTGTAATAAATATTAATGTTTTCAAATAAGCAACTTTTTACTTTCTTGATTTTTCTCTATTATTTGTCCATTTTCTATTTCATTGATTTTACTCTTACCTCTATTGTTTCCTTCTTGAACTTTGTGTTTAACCTGCTCTTCTTTTTATATTTTTCAAGAGGAAATTTGAAGCATTGATTTTAAGCCTTTTTTCTTTTCTTTTATAAGCTTTGAAAGCTATAAGTTCCCCTTTAATAACTTCTTTAGCTCCATTCAAAATTTTGATGTATTGTATTTTTCTTATCATCTGGTTAAAATATTTTATAATTACCCTTGTGATTTCTATTTTGACTCATGTTTTATTTAGAAGTGATTTTTTCCAAGTCTTTAGGGTTTTTCTAGCTATCTATTGTTATGAAATGCTAATTTAATTTTTCTGTGGACAGAGAACATATTCTATAATTTTTTATCTTTCAAAATATATTAAGGCTTGTTTTATGACCTAGAAGATGGTCTATTTTAGTGAACATTCGATTGAATGTTGCAACTGTAAAGAATGACTATTTTGCATTGTTGTATATAATGCTCTATAAGTGTCAAATAGGTTGAGTTGGTTGATAATGTTATTTATCATTTTACAATTTGTCTATTTGTTTTATCAGTTACTTAGATACATTAAAATCTCTAGTTATAATTTGACATTTTCAATTTCACTCTTTAGTTCTGTCCATTCTTGCTTTATGCATTTTTAAGCTGTATTGGACTCATACACATTAAGGGTTCCTATGTCTTCCTGATGAATTAATCTGTTATTGTAAAATGTTTTTCTCTATTTCTGGTAACATTTCTTATCTTGAAGTCTACTCTGTCTGATATACTTAAATAGCCACTCTCATCTTAATATGTTTAATGTGACATGGCATATCTTTTCTTATCCTTTGACTAAACTTATTTATGCTTCTAGATGTAAAGTATGTCTCTTGTATAGAACATATTATTAGGTTTTGTTTTTTGTCCATTCTGATAATCTCTGACTTTTAATCCAAATATTTAATCAATTTATATTTAATGTAATTATTTACATGGTTGGTTTTAACTGTACTGTTTTTCTATTTGCTTTCTTTTTGTCTTATTTGTTTTTTCTCTGTTCCTTCTTTTCTGCCCTTCTGGGTTAACAGAATTTTTTAAATAGTACCCTTTATCTTATCCGTGAGATTTTTAGCCCTAACGCTCTGTATTATTTTTAATGGTTGCTTGAGGGATTACAATATGTATCCCCAGTTCCCCATAGTCTACCTAGAGTTATTATACCACATCATGGAAAATGAAAAAAAAAAACTTTAAACCTTATAATTCCCCCTCCCAACCCTGATTCCCTGGTTTTGTTATCATACATAAGATATACGTAACTCCACAAAACAATGTAATGGGTTTTGCTCTACACAGTCAGTTTTATTGTAAAAAGAGAATAACAGCCTTTTGTATTTTTGTTGCATATACTATTAAGTTGTGCTGTTTCTTCCTGTAGATCAGTTGCATCTTGTATCCTGTCGTGAAATTCCTTTAGCATTTCTCGTAGTGCAGATCTGCTGGCAATGCATTTTCCCAGCTTCCATATATCTGAAAATATCTTGATTTCATCTTCATTTTTGACAAGTGTTTCTACTGGATATAGAATTCTGAATTGACATTTTTAGGTACATTAAAAATGCCATTCCACGTCTACTATTAAAAAGTCAAAAACAACAGATGCTGGCAAGGCTGCAGAGGAAAGGGAACACTTATACACTTTGGGTGGAACTGTAAATGAGTTCAGCCACTGTAGAAAGCAGTTTGGAGATTTCTCAAAGAACTTAAAATATAATTACCATTCAACCCAGCAATCCCATTACTGGGTATATATCCAAAGGAAAATAAATCATTCTGTCAAAAAGACACATGCACTTGTATGTTCATCACAGCACTATTTACAATAGCAAATACATGGAATCAACCTAGGTGCCCATCAACGGTGGATTGGATAAAGAAAATGTGGTACATATGCACCATGGAATACTATGCAGTCATAAAAAAGAATGAAGTCATGTCTTTGCAGCAACGTGGATGCAGCTGGAGGCCATTATCCTAAGTGAATTAATGCAGGAAAAGATAATGAAATACTGCATGTTCTCATATATAAGTGGAAGCTAAACACTGAGCACACGTAGACGTAAAGATGGGAACAACAAACACTGGGGACTACTAGAGGGGGTAGAGGGTGTTGAAAAACTAACTCTTAGGTACTCTGCTTATTACTTGAGTGATGAGATCAATTGTACCACAAACCTCAGCATTACGCAATATACCCATGTAGCAAACCTTCCCATGTGCCCCCTAAATCTAAAATAAAAGTTGAAATTATTAAAAAATTAAAAATAAAAATACTATTTGATCAAGGTTCTAAAAAATGTCATTCCATTGGCTTCTAGTCCCCATTGTTTCTAATAAGAATCCAATCATAATCATACAGTTGTTTACCCATAGGCAATGTGTCTTTTATCTCTCATTGCTTTGAAGAGTTTTTCTTTTTCATTTATTTTCAGTAATATTCCACATGTGCCTCTATATAGTTTTATTTGTATTTATTCTATGTAAATTATTGCTGAGATTCTTGTTTCTAAACTGATATTTTTCAACAAATTTTTAAAGTTTTTGGCCAAACTTGGACTACAGCAGTTTGGGTTCTGCCTTATTGATAACCAGAAAAGGGAGTGTCCTTTAGGGAAAAGCCTCTGTTTTTTTTCCGGAAATTGAATTACAAGTATGTGAGACTGTTTAATATTGTCTCACAGATTAGAAGAGCCTTGGATTGTTTTTCAATAATTTTTCTCTCTGTTTTTCACATTTGATAATTTTCGTTGATCTATCTCCAAGTGTGGTGACCCTTTCTTTATCTCTCTCCACTCTGCAATTAAGCCCATCCAGTAAATTTTTTATTTCAGATATTGTGGGTTTTGTGTTTTTAATTTTCTATTTGGTTAGTTTTGTCAATTATGCTTTTCTACTTGAATTTCCTTGTCTCTTAAACCATTATGACCTTCTCTTTAGATCCTTATCGTATTTAAAATAGCAACTTCAAAGTCCCTGTCTTCTAATTCCAAATTCTTGGTCATGATTGAGCCTGTTTCTATGGACTGCTTTTTTTTCCCCTCAACAATGAATCATATATGTCTTTGCATATCTTATCGTTGCTATTATATATTGGAGATTTTAGATAAAACATTTCAGACACTGAATTCTATTTTCTTCTTGTAAAGAGTATTGACTTGTATTCAAACAGGCAGTGGGATTACTGGCTTATCACTTTGAACTTGCGGAGGCTTGGTTTACTTTACCAAGGTGCTCTAATTTGGTGGGATTCAAACATCAACCTTTTCTCATCTGTGACATCTAGCTGCTAAAATCCCTCATAAATCCTTTTTGCTCTCTATCTGTGGTTTTCTGCTGAGTTCCTTGGAGCTTGGAGTCCTCTAAAAGCATTCTGTAGGGTTCAGCCAAGTATTTTAGGGAAATTATATTCAGATTTGAGGGCTCCATTTACTCCAGGAGTTTCCTCTTTAATTACCAGTCTCTCTTGCACTTCCAAACTCTGCCACTGACACTTCAAGCTGAGAAAAATGCAGCTTTCTCCTTGAGTTCTGGCTTCTTTGCAGGCCACACTCAATGGGATGTCCTCAGGAGAAAGATGCTTGTAAATATGGACTGCACTCTAAGCACTTGCCCTCTTTTAAGGCAGAAATACCTTCAGTTGCTGCCTGCTTAGGGTTGCCCTCCATGCCTTTAAATAGGTGTGTGTGTGTGTGTGTGCGCGCGCGTGTGTGGTGTGTTCATTTTGTTCAGTGTTTATAATTGTTATCTACTGAAGAGTTTTTCTAACAATCTATTCACCATTGTTGACCAGCAATTTCCTTTTAATATTATTCATATTATGGCAATAAATTGGTGAAACAAATGTACAGTATTGCGTTCTCTTGTATCTAACATACAGTAACCTTTATATTCTCGCAAAAGCTTGGAGTGGGTGAGATCAAGGGGCAGTGGTAATAAACATATTATGACTTTCAAAATAAGGAGATTTATGAATGTAGTAACACAAGTCGGGTATAGTTTGTTCTGCTGGCTTGTTTTTCAAATAAGAATATTTGAACATTACTGTGTTCAAACACTTTCTCCTGCCAAGCCAACATAATCAAACAAATAGATTAAGAAGGTGAAAGAGAACTCAGGGGTATTCTAAGGGAAACTATTATAAATAACACTCCTATGCATAAACACTGTTAAACAAATAAAAATCATCTCTCAGGGAAATAGTGCTGGTCCCCAATATTAATTTAGTCCCCTCTGCCTGCATATAAGGTTATTTCCTTCTCTTTAAGGTATTCAAATTATTGCTCCCTCTGCTACCTTTGGTAATATATTCTACTTGTCAGAAGTAGGCTGATGCAGCAATGAGACAGAGAGATAGGGAAAGCCTGGGGTTTGAGCTTAGGAACAAGGTCCCAGGCTAATTACTCTTAGAAAGGAGTTGCAGGAATTTGAGTCATAAGGTGAGATCATCACCAGAGGGCCATCATCCCACAGCACAGGAAAGGTAGAAGGCAGAAAATACCCACAATCTCTTCAAGATGAAGAGACGTATCAAACACAAATAGCTAATGAAGTTTTTTTTTTGCTGGCAGTAAGGGGCACAAATGAGAGTATGATCATGGAGGAATTTCATATCAAAATAGAGACGGTATAACGCAGGACACATATCCCAAATGCATTTTTTACAGTGAAAGTAAAATTGTTTCAGATCTCCTGCTTTTGAATCCCAAGTCCATCATCCTTCAATCATATGATCTGGGGAAAATGCCTTAATGTCCCTGTGTTCCATTGCAACATCTGGGAAAATAAGTGCAGTGACTGAGTCAGATCTCGTCAGCCCCAGATGTCTCAATTCACTGATAGGTGCCCAAGTCTCCCCACAATTTGGCCTTTTCAGTTCCACTCTGCTCATTTCAGATTCTCCTTTATCTGTTACTGCTTCCTTTTATTTCACTCCTTCCAGCTTCAGCTCCTACTCTCTCCTGAATTGTACTTCAATATTTCCAATTCCTTATTAAAATCTGTCTTAGATCGACGTTCACCCCAATCTACATGCCTTCACTCCAAACACTGCCCTCAAAAAGCCTTTGGTCCAGGTGAAACTTCCTAGATTCCAACAAATGTTTCATATCTATTTGTGTAAGAAACCACGTACTCCTGCTATAAGCCCTTTGGCAGCAGTATACATAAGCATTCCATATTACTACTTTGCTAAAGGCAATATAAAAAAAAAAGACCTTAAAAACACAAATTAAGGAAAATAAACACAAAAGTGTCTTTTGAAAACTTACAAAACCTGTTCAGTAGAGCAGGCACTTTTAATTGGAAATGCTGCAAGACTGCAGGAGCAGCAAAATGTGATTCCTTCAAACATAATAGAATGTGCTGATTCACAGGCAGGAGGAATAACACCCAGAATCTGCCTATCTGCCACAGCAGTTCTGACCCTTCCAGCTCTGTTTAAGAAAGATTAACCTTAATGGGAGCCTTATACCCACGCTTGGACTCTTCCAGAGGAAAAATATGAGCATATGACTTTTCAGTTTGCAAAATAATCATGTGATTCTCCTTTAGTGGCAAATAACGTAGTGTCCTCTGTCCCTAAAAATTCTTCTTGTCCTTCTAGGATCATGGGGATCTCTGAGGGTTCTACCTTTACTTAAAATCCTTCAGACCTGCAATAAATAATTTGAAATGTTTAAAACACCATCATAAAAAATATACATTTGGGTTTGTTTTGCCCACGAGAAAATAAAGGGGGAGTGACTGTTATCAAGTAAAATCAAAGAAAATGTCTTGTCCCTCAGGCCTAGGTCTAAATTGCTCAGGTGTCCTGTGGCCTACATGAGCTTGTTTCTGGGAATGACATTTGAGCACAGATAGACAAAGTCACTGCCTATTCATAACAGGTGTAGAACCCACAAGTGCAGCTTTTACAAGGCAAGTCATCCTCAGGTCATCCTTAGGATTTTCACAAGGTGAGCTAACCTCCTGGCATAAACAGCCATTTTTAATTTAAATTTTTTATTGCACGCTTTTCATCTAATGAGTCACATGGAAAATGAGAAGGCCCACTATGCATCTGTGACCTAAAAGACTATATAAATAGTAAATGTATTATTTTCATGTTTCCAATAAAAAGGAAACCCATTTTCTTTTGTTAATATGCAATACGTTTTAATTAACTATAGTCATTTTGTTGTGCAATAGAACCCCAGAACTTATTGCTCCTAACTATAAATTTGTACTTGTTGACCAGCATCTCCTCTTTCTACATATTCCATATTCCACGCAACTCCCCAATCCCCTGCCCCTACCACCCCTGGAACCACTGTTCTACTCTCTGCTTCTATCAGTTTGACTTTTTTTTAGCTTCCACACGTAAGTGAGAACATACAGTATTCATGTCTCTGTGCCTGGCTTGTTTCACTTAACATAATGTCCTCTAGGTTCATCCATGTTGTTGCAAATGACAGAATTTCCTGATTTTTAAAGGCCGAATAGGATTCCATTGTGTATACAAATCACATTTGCAAAATCTGTTCATCCATTGTTGCATACTTAGGCTGAGGAAACCCATTTTCTATGGGGCAAGTATTTGTTCTTGCCTCTGAAACCTGCCTTTGTGGATCCAGATACAAATATCAGACAAAACGTACTTCAGTTTTGGTAGTTGCTAACAGTGGTTTAAGAATATTCCTGGATATTGGCCAGGCACGGTGGCTCACGCCTGTAATCCCAGCACTTTGGGAGGCCGAAGTGGGCGGATCACAAGGTCAGGAGATCGAGAACATCCTGGCTAACACGGTGAAACCCTGTGTCCACTAAAAATACAAAAATAAAATTAGCCGGGCGTGGTGGCGGGCGCTTGTAGTCCCAGCTACTCGGGAGGCTGAGGCAGGAGAATGGCGTGAAGCCGGGAGGCGGAGCTTGCAGTGAGCCGAGATCACGCCACTGCACTCCAGCCTGGGCGACAGAGGGAGACTCCTTCTCAAAAAGACAAAAAAGAATATTCCTGGATATAATCAAAATAACAAACATAATGTCTTATCCCAAACAACTCTCCTTGCCCTGCCATATAAATCCATTAAAAGTGAGAATTTTACAAAGTTCTCACACTTTAGTAAGGTAAAAAAAAAAAAAAAATCAAATTTTTAAAAATTGTTTACTGGCTGTCTATAAAGTAAAAGACACTAGGATAGGCATGGTGAGACATAACACAAGGAAGATATAGCCTTTTCTCTTAAGGGATTTATCAACATTTCACCAATATCAAAATATAAGTCATCTTCAAAAGATGAGAATTTTTCATCAAGACTGGTACATTTTTTTAAATGTGTTGTTGGCTTTAGATAAAATCCTCTAAGACTATTCCAAACAACAATGAAGCAAGTAATCATAATTTAGAAGCAGTAACACCTATTTGGATGCTCAAACTATATAACTGTATATTTGAAACTGAATAAATGTTTATTAAAAACCTATCACATTATATTGTATCGTTGATTTATGTTGAATTAATTACACTATTTCCTGCAATCCCTAAACTTCAGATCAAATTCATGGGATTTTAATGGGTATTTCAATACATCTTTAGTTTACATTCATATTTATTTCCCATTTCAGTATTTCAAATTCAACAGAGTCATTGGGATGTATCTATTGATTTTGTGAAAAAGACTTAGCTCTGGGTCCTTATCCCAATTCTGATGCTGTAACTGGCAAGGTGAACATGGGTTCAGTTATCTAGCCGCTCTGAGCTGTTTTCTCTGTAAAAAGGATGATGTATGCAATTTCCCTGGCACATGATACATTATAACTATTGTGAATCAAAAAAATCACTCATCTTTGTTGAGAATCTGGCAGTGCCGTGGGGTGACCGTTCTGAAGATCAGTGCTTACCAGATTCAAAAAATCATTTTAGTGTTTGAAAGGGATAGGATCAACCTTATTCTACAGACGAGGACTTTGATAGATACAGGAGGGAAGTCACTTGCCCAGTGCCACTTAGATAGTGGTAGACCTTCAATCCAGTCTTGGCACCTTGTCTAGTCCCTTTTGTACAGTATGGCAGATATATCTGTAAAATTATAGATAAGTAGACTGACTTTATAATGATCTTTGATATCTTCAAATTAGGAGTTTTCCTGTTCTAACACATCTCTAATAAGAGATAGTTGCTAGAACTTTGAATTTAGGCAGAAAAATGGGTAGTAATCATTAGGCCATAGGCCTTATTTTCCTCCACTATAACAAAAGAAAGGATTTTTAACTTTATAAGTTTGTTTAATCATCACTTAGCTATTCTTCTAAAAGAGAAAAAGCAGACTAAAAAATGGATAATTGAAAGTTCCAGTTAACTGGGTCTCAGTTAATCTAGATTTTTATTATTTCTAAACCATTCCACTACAAACTCTGATTGGTATAATTGATTTAGAGCCTGTTCCATATGATGCCTTCTATTCTCTAAGCTGAGTTGACCCCAAAAAGAAGAACCCTTTGAATTCAATCTGAGAACTATACTCAGTTCTGAGAATGAAGATGGCATTTTAGACTCCTGTGTTTGTGAGCTGGTGCCTTTTCCTATATTTTTATTTTTAAAAATCCAATTTGAGTTTTTTGCCTCATGTCCTCATCTTAGGCACCATAAAAAAAAGTGAGTGAAAGAAAATCTTTCCCATAGAAATTCTCACACATAATGATGCCAACAGGCCTTTCATTTTACTGGTTGCCTGGCTGACTAGTATATTGGAAATAAGTGAAGATGGGAAAATAACAAGGAACTAGTTTCTGCTGAGGGGAACAAATTCTACAGTTATGAAGTTGTAAGGAAAAGCACAATGAAAAATAATCTCAGTATCGCAGAATAAAGCAATTCTCAGCAGTAAAGTAGTAACAAAAGAAATGGAAATCTTAGGAAACACTCAAAATGGGCAGTAATAGCACAAAAGCATTACAATGTTTCAAATTGCAAGGTGAATCGAATGACTGAGAGACTGTCTTGAGCACACTTGAGATTAGTTCTCAGATGTATTTTATTCGGTTTTCCTTTTTTCTTTTCTGAGAGATTATCTCATCTATTTAGGCCTTCTTCCTTTAGGTCACAGAAACAGGGAAAGGCACTTAAGATATTCATTAATTAAGACACCATTTGTAGCTCTACTGTGAAGGATAATCACTTGTTGGCTTAAGATGGTAACTTACAACTTAAAGTATTTACATGGCAATTTCTCTACTGTGAAGTTAAAGGCTCTAATTCAAACTGATGACAGGAACTAGTTAGGGATTTTAAAAGAAGCAAATACTTTTCAAATTTAAGCAGAAGGATAAGAAAAATATTTGATTAATTAATGGACTGCCACAAGGGGCAATTCTTCCTGACTTCATATATTCTACATTAGTTGTTCTTTATAAAACAAAGAGTATATTGTAGTTCATGTGATTTTCAAAGAATTATAGAGTCAAGTATAGACCTAACATAAATTCTTCCTATATACACAAAAACTCAATAGCAACAACATAACAGTAATAGAGACTTTTTCCTAGATTTTTAAGATATCAAAAACGTTCTTCAATAACACATTAATCAAAGGTACTCTAATGGCATCTCATGAGCTAAGTAGGTGTCAAGGATCATCTTTCTTTTATCATGAGAAAATAAAGCAGAACTGGTTCTGTGATTTAGCCAAGAACAAATGTCAGTAAGCAAACAATCTCAAAATCAGAGCCTTTCAAGTCTCAATTGACCGTCTCAACCCAGAGGGTGAATTCTCCGAGTATTATGTGAGAAAACATCATGAAAACACTAAGGCTCAAGATTTGTGAGCTCTCAGTTTAGTTCTGTTGTTTGTTTTTTTGTTTTGTTTTGTTTTGTTTTTCGTTGTTTTATTTATTTATTTATTTTTGGTCACGGCACCTTTTGTTCTCACATACAAAATTGAATATTCATCTTAGAACATCATCTGAAAGGCCTAATTAAAAGTTGATGATTTGCAAGATAACCTAAATGTGACTTACTTATACCTTACATTAGTCTTACAATTGATTTCTTTCTCCACTATTAGTACATATTTATCTGTTGTAAGCAAATGTAAGGAAGGCGTTTTTGAAGTAAGCCTGTGAAAAGAATTGCATACCTCCTGGAAAGCAATCCACATGCATCAACTCTTTCCTCTTTGCAGATTGCTGTGCTCTAAAATCCCATTCAGAGGAATCATTTGTGCTTCTGACATTAATGGTAAGACAGGCTCAAGCCTTTATAAATGAAGAAAATAGCTATGAGGATTTTGTCCGTGTAGTATTGTAGCTATTACAGATTTTCAATTAACCTTTGTGTCTGCTTGGCAAATACTATAATGGTCAGACTCCAGTGCCATAGACTATGTCACAGTGCACAAGATACAGCTAAAGATTTAGCTAAGGCTTGAAGGCAATTTCTGCAAAGAAAAGATAGAAAAATCATCCTAATTATTAACTTGTGTAGAAATGGTGATCAAACAAAGAGACATGGTCTGCATTTGACAGGTAAATACCCATTATTATTCAATGCAGTATTAAATATCATTAATGTATACAAGCATAATGTCATCACTAAGTTATATTTTAATTCAAGTAGAGGTAAAATACGATGCTTAGGTATTTTACAAATCGCATGAAGGAGACATAATCCTTTCCTTCCAGAGCTCAAATGAATGACAACATTGCTATATGCATTGAAAGACACACTTCTGTGTAATACACAAATAGTTAATACTATGAAAGATTTTAAAAGATTGTTTTTTTCTATTTTCAGGGTCAGTTATTTGTGTTCTGAATATATTGGTAACTGAATTTGTGCATAAAAAGAAGAGAAATGGCTCTGTCCTTTTGTAAAATGATGTTAGTTCTTAAATGTATTATTCCCTAGGGGCAAAAAGGTCAAAATAAGGCATGGAGGAAATACAAAGGATTGCACAGGCAGGGAATGCTTTTGATAGTTACTAGTTTTGCCTTATCAGTGAGCCAGCAAAGGGCATTCTGTTCTCTAGAAGTCAACTTTTCATAAGCGTCAGAATCCATTTGATTACCTTTAAGGCTTCTGATGCATCCACTTGAGCCATTGGGCTCAAGAACTCTTTCATTCAGATAAAATGTTCCTCCATAATATACTAGAAAATGGCGTGACTTCTAATCCTCATTTATTTTCTAAATAGTCTATCTTATTTTTTAAATATTGCATTCAGATATTGAATCAATAGATTTAGTAATAATTTGTTAGCATGTGCTCTTTATATGTAGAATTCAAACGTACCTAAACAAGAAGTTACTACAAGGGAAAAAGAATGAGAAACATTATCTGTCTTAACTAAATCAAGTTTATTCTAGAAGCAGAAAATTCATTAAGAATGGGAGATCCTTTTTTGAGATGTGTTTAGGAAACTTCATGACGAGAAACAGTTCAAGAAGCAGAGCTGTAAAAATGTCCGGAAACGGTAGCATGAGACAATTCCAGTATATAGAAAGACTGAGGTATTCATCGTTTGGACTTGAATTATGAGAGGCCTCTCCTAAAGCCACAAAAAATTCTACCAGTGACTCATGGAGAAGGCAGGCAGCAAACAGAAAGATTGATCTGCCAAGAGCAGATACTGAATCAGACCTGGGGGTTTTATATAGACAAAATCAGCCCACAAATCCATGTATTTTCATGGAAAACCAGCAAAGTGTGTTTGGGGCTGGGGTAGGGAGGACTGGCAACATTTTTCCATTTTTTTCTCCTCCTATGTATAAAATGGCTTCTTTTCAAGTAATAAAGATTACACCAGAAAGTGTTAGAGTGTGGGGGTTGTTGGGTGAGTATGTCCCTCAGGGGACTCCTGGTTTTCCTGTTACCTCACTGATTGCTCTTCCTCCATCCTCTTTACTGGATCCTTTTCTTCCATACACCTCAGAATTTTGGAATGTCCCATGATGTGTTTCTTTGTTCTTCTTTGTTTTCTATTTACATTCACTTTCTTGGCTACCTTACCCAGTCTCAGGGCTTTACCCCCTACCTATATGACAGTGACTCTCAAATTTTTATGTTGACTCCTGGCCTACTGCCTACTCAACAACTCCCTTTGGATACCTAATGACCACCTCATTTTTATTTTTATTTTTATTTTTATTTTGAGACAGAGTCTCACTCTGTGGCCCAGGCTGGAGTGCAGTGGTGCAATCTTGGCTCACTGCAAGCTCCGCCTCCCGAGTTCACGCCATTCTCCTGCCTCAGCCTCCCAAGTAGCTGGGACTACAGGCACCCACCACCACGCCTGGCTAATTTTTTTGTATTTTTTTTAGTAGAGACGGGGGGTTTCACCGCGTTAGCCAGGATGGTCTCGATCACCTGACCTCGTGATCCGCCCACCTTGGCTTCCCAAAGTGCTGGGATTACAGGCATGAGCCACCGCGCCCGGCCATGACCACCTCATTTTTAACTTGCCTAGAACTAAATCATTGATCTTCACTCCCTCACCAAAAAAATAAAACAACAGCAACAAAAAATCTGCTTCTGCCTGCAGCCTTCTGTGGCACAAATGTTAGCAATTCCTTGCTAAAACTCAAGTCAAAAACCTTAGGGTCATCCTTGACTCCTTTCTTTTTTTTTTTTTAACACCACTTGCTCAATCCGTATGCAAATTTCGTTGTCTATTTTGTTAAAACATGTCCATATACGACCCTTTTCCACCACTGTTCAAGCCACTGTCATCATATTATATATCTCATGCACAGGACTGTTTAAGATAGGCCAACACGATGCCCCTTCACAAGGACCCAATAAAATCTACATTGTCTTATGGCCCTACAGATACCTTTGCCTCTTACCCTTGCCTCTCATTTGGAAAAATGTATCTAGATTTTAGGTTGGGAAAAACAGTTCTTATTAATAAAATGCATATTCTTCTGAATCTGTTGTTTGGTCAGGACCTACTATGCAGTCTTGACTTTTGACATTCAATAGCCTAGATTTTAAAAATCCCAAGTTTCCTTTCTGTGTTTTGGTGCTTTGTCCTGTGGCAGTGAATGCTTTACAAATTCTATTTTAAGTGGAGGAAGAACACGTTTAAAAATAATTTCTGGAAATGAAAAAACATATCATAAAATGAATGCCTCTCCCCATATATGCAGGCTGGTATGCTTACAGCAGATTCAATGGGCGGCGAGGAGCAGTTTAGCTGACACTGCTAGAAGGATTCTTCTTTTGCCAGGAAGAGATTTAGCTATTTTAGAAATTCAGAGTCCATGATAGCCTTAAAAATCACCTTCTACATTCCTTCTTTTTGCCAGTTCTCCTATATCTACGAATTCCTTTGAAAGGGAAATCTAGGACATTTCATACTAAAATTTTCACTGAAATCTGTAGTGACCCCCTAAGTCCCCCTCATCTGTCACACATGAAATCCCTCACGGAATAACATCCATTGCCTCTAGGTGACTTTGGACTCAGGTTTATAATAAGTCTATGGTTCAGAGATGGGTGACAATGAGGATTCTTAGAAATTCTGGACAGGCTACCACTTGTAACAAGTATGGTTAATCTTAAGTCAACAATCTTAGGTGTTCAAGAGAAATAATTTTCTTTTATGGCTTAATTTACTTTATATTTTGAGTGCCCATTCTGCTAGGTGATGGAAATGGGATCTTTGTCAATTAAGGCTCTCTGCCACCTTCTTTCCCCATATTTTCATTCCATATTCTAGTCAAAGGATAAAGAGAAATTACTGAGAGGAACAACATCAACAAAATTGGGCAACATATCTATGGGGAGATGGACTTTCCAGTTCACTGAGAGAGCAGAATATATGCAGAGTTACCTGGGCCCTGGCAAGGAAGGGGACTTGTTGACATTAGATTGGTTCAAGAACTGAAAATGACTGGCTAATGTTTTTAGACATTTTTTAAATGGAAGTGCCAACATTGTTAGTGTAATTCTTCTAAAATAGTTTTATAAGCCCCAGTAAAAAGAACAGTGGCTTATAAAAAACCCACCTTCATTTTCACTTTGGCAAGATCTTAGCTGAGAAGAAATTATCACCAGCTGCAGCATACCTCATGTAAAAAAAGGGGCAAGGCAAAAGCTATGCAAAATATGTTGCTTCTGCTGCTGCTCCATATAGTAACCCCACTCCATGAGGTTATGTTATGTAGCCTTGGTTAAACAAATTGGGAATTTTAGCAGATGTGTATTCTCTTCTGTCATTCAAAATTTTATCTGCAGAGATGCAATATCAAAATATCTTATCTGGTGATTCTAGGTAAGTCACCTCCAACATGAAGCCTGGGAGGTACAATATGTTTATTTGTTTCATTAATCAATTTGTTAATAAACAATACTGATTGCCGGGTTGCCTACCAGCTAGCTTCACAGACCTGACAGTACAGTGTAGCAGGCTAGTTAGAAATTAGGGGTTAACACCATTCTGAGCCTTAGTATTTCTGGGGTGAAAGGCAAGCCCCTTTTCTCTGTGGCTTCTTTGCCACTGCCTCACCCCACCCTGGACCCTGACCTCCGAGGTTTTGACCCAGGCCCCACACCTAATATAGATTTCGCTTTGTTGTTGCTGACTATGAGCTCTGACTCTGATTAGCCTGAAAATAGCAAATCTAGAACAAGTGGCTGCCTCTATGCTCCTGCCAAAATTAGACATAGAACTTTTAGACTTGAGGACAAGATCACCATAAAAATTGCTGCATGACTTGTCATATACTTGATATAAATTATGCAATTTTATATAAGTTATATTAAGTTTGCCAAGTCATTATCAAAACATTAGTCTAAACATCTTTTGTATGTACTAAATAAGGTTTTGTTTCTCAGATCTAACACTGGCTCAGAGCTATAATGTTCAATAAAGGAGCCTCTAGCTCAGGGGGCTCTTGAATGCTTCAAATGTGGCTAGTATAATTTTGATCTTATTTAATTTTAATTTTAATTGAGATTTAAATTAAAAACTGGTATTGCTTTCAGTTTTGGGGAAATTTTAAGTAATTTTGGAACAACTCAGGTATGTAAATCTACTTTTTCTGCTGTATGTTTTATGAAATCTAAATGCAGAAAAATATTTGTGATATTAGTATTAAGATGTGCTGTAAGGGTAAAATACACATTGCGTTTTGAAGACTCAGTACAAAAAAAAAGAATGTAAAATATCTCACTAATAGTTTATGTTGTTCACATCCTGAAATAATATTTTGTGTACATTGGGCAAAAATTATATAGTACAAAAGTCAGTTTTATCTGTTTATTTTCACCTTTTTTAATGTGACTATTTGATAATTTAAAATTTCCTATGTGGTTTGAATTATATTCTAATGGGCATGCTAGTTTAGATGAACTATGCTCATTCAATTGCCTTACTATATTTTGAGCTATATCGTTTTCTATAAGAGTTTGTCCCCAAACACTCTAAATTAGTATTTTAACCTGAGACTTCCACTGCAAAAAATAAAACCCCTGTTTTGTTTTTTCCTATAGAAAATATTATGAGAAAACCTCTCTCCCTTTCTGATAGGAACATAGACCTAGCCATGCAGAGCAAAACAGGAAGAAATATTTAGGCTCCTCTCTCTTCTCTAAAATTTGCATCCAATAATGCATTCTGGACATTATTTTTGCAGCTTCCACCATCACTGAAGCTCTTCTGTTGAAAATCTCCTGAGTGACATAAAGAGAGCAGATGAATGAATGAAACAGATTAGGATGTTATTTCCTTCTTCTTTTGTTAGTTGCAAAATGCACCATATGGACATATCACAATGTGCCTTGCAGAAATTTGAATCTCTGATAAAGTTATTTTTTCTTTTTAAGAATTACATAAAGTACTCATGATGAATGAACTTTAGGCATTAAGTGATGAATGAGTTTTTGAATAACCATCCTTTCAGAAGTTATATCAAGTTTCTAGTAACATAAGCATCTAAGTTATGTTTAAGTGGCTCATACTTCAGGTTGTTGAACAAATCTCATGCCTCTGTAAACTCTTATAGTGAAGTAAAACCTACATATTTCTAGTGTTTGCATATGAACAGATTTTATAGATTTACAAATTAAGATTTTAATCGACTCTTTCAGAGTTCCTTGAGTGAGGAGACTAAATCAACTTACTTTGATCTTTTAAAATGCTGTATTACTTTTTTAAGTAAATGCTATCACGGCTTAGCAATATTATTTAAACAATACTATTATAACCTTCTGGAAGACACTCCTTAGCCAAATATATTTTGAATCAAAGATTTTTTGGGAATCAAAGAGACAAAAATAACTGTCTTGGCTCTTCAGGTACTATGACATAGTCCCAGACATAAGAAATACCTACATAGAACATTTATGTATTAGAATTGGTGGGCTTTAAGTAGACAAATAAAAAGAAAAAGAAAAATAACTGAAGGGATCAACATAAGCTAAGACGGAAAAAATAAAGAAAAATCCAAACCAATGAAAAGAACAATACAAATATACTTCAAATACGGCCAATATAATTCCTATAGTTCAGATTCAAATATGGTTTTGCTGCTGTTTTTGTAATACATTGAGTTAAGCATCTGGAACAATCTTTTGTTGAAAATAACCAATCATCCTAGCTATAATAAATATTTTTAAACATTCTAAAAGGAACAATGAGCTGGCTAGAATGAAAAAAAAAATCTCAAGCAGAAAAAAAAAATCCTAATTAAGAACG